>NC_000010.11:19403939-19555454 GCF_000001405.40 Homo sapiens
ATAAGAAAACATGTATTGTGAAAAGCAGAAAATAATACTTCAAATGGCATTAAACACGTTAAGCTTTTTACTAAGCAATTTTGTTTCTTGTGAGGTTTTTAAAAAATGTCTAAGCAGAAGATAAACTAAAAATATAGTAAAGCTTAGAGAAAAAAATACTTTTTATTTTGTTTTTCCATTTGAACACAAAATACAATGGGAGCATATAAGTAAAACTTTTACAATTTACTATGTTTCCTTAGATGTAGGGAGATTGTGAACAGTTTTATTTTTATAGATAGATGGTTTGCAGTGATTTCAGAATGCACTTATGCTTTTTTTATTATTACTTTATCCATGTAGTAATAAACATCATTAGGAAAAAATCTCGTACAATAATTTTAAGCAGATATCTCCGTACTTAAAATTTTTTTATGCCTTGTAGAATGATTAAGGGCAGAGTGTTGACCTGGAACTACAGATAATTTATCTTTGACTAAGATGTAGTATATTCTATTTCATATTAGAAGTTTCTGATGTATGTTGCTCCCTTGAAAATCTTCCACTTATTTTCCTGTAAACTTCCAAGCCACAAATATATGTGTTTTTTTCTAAGTAGCTTCAGCACTGTTAAATATTTTAGAAAATTTTATTAATGTAAATATAGCCAGATCATTGAGTAGGAAAACAATCAATGGTGGCAAATAAGTGACATATCCATAATAGAGTCACTTTGTTTTCCTAGACCTCTGGGGAAGTGATTGTTTTATATCACTTCACTCATTTTGCACACACATACTGCACATTACTTAAAATTCTGTTTCTGAAATAATTTGTTTAAAAAATAGCACTCCAGAAAATTTCTGTTAAATTTAATAACTTCAATGTGAACACCTGGATCAGAATCATTATACATAACAGAGTACTGGATATATCCATTTGCATCTTCTCATATATGGTGAGCTCTGAAAATATACGAAATTCTATGCACAGAGAAGAGAAAGCAAATGTACTAGTTGCTTTTCCTTGTAACTTCTTATAAATGCATCCATGAAAATGCATGTCCTTTGTATATTCATGAAGAGAAGTAGCACTTTATTTAGTAGGTTTTTCATGACAACAAAAAAACCTGTGAAAGGCAGAATTTGTGAAAATAATCAAACTTAGAAATGAGGCATTGAAATGAAGTGGTGTTTTGCATATATACACGTTACCTCAACTTTCTAAATATTTCTTAATTTGGTAAGAATGCGTCAACATCTTATTTGTTATTTTGCATGAAGGAAGTTAGAACTACTGGTAGAATGTAGAAGGAGAAATATGAACAAAATTATTACCTTTTCTGGAAATTTATGTTCAACAAGAAGGGTCACCTCCTCTCCCTCTTTGAAGTCCCACCATTCTCTTGTATTTTTGAGATTATTTTTATATCTACCACAGAGTTGTTTACTGTGCACTGCTTCTCAGCATTGTGTACTTTTCCCTGCAACTTCCAACAATAGTTTTGGCCATCGATTATTCTGTTCTAGTTGCTGCCTGAGAGTCTGAGACCCCTGACTTGATCATCTGCTATAATCAACATACTGTTTTCAACAAAGATTCAATGGGAGGAAAACCACATCTCTCTTTGGTCCCATCCATCAGTTCAAAACAAAAACACCAACACAAGGCTTATTTACATGTTATAGATTTCACAGAAGTGTTGATCCTAATTAGAATCTTAGAACCCAGAATATGGCTGTACTCAGAGTACAAAAGGAAAATCAGATATCAAACTTTCACACATAGATTCTCTCCATACACATATCCTAGTTCCTAGACTCATTCCTTTGAATCTTTTAAAGGAGCCACATGTTCTATTCTTCCAATGCATACATAGACTCCATTTTCAGATAACACCACTCACTAAACATAGGGATTACTTTTGCGTTAGGATGCATTTTTTTTTTTCCTTTTTGCTGGAGCGATGAAGACCGTTTGACCTATAGAGTTTATTTCCTGAAGTATGAGGTGTTTAGCCACAGAATGTCACAGTGGGCTCCTAGATGTGACAAAAGATCACTGGTCATGTAGCTGGAGACAGACTTGGATTTGAATGTCAACTCTGCCGCTTACTACTCATTATCTTGGGCAAATTATTTAGAATCCATAAGCCACTTTCTTTACATATGTAAAATGATGATTATAACATGAGTTGCAAATTGTTTTCAGGGCCACCAAATGCTATACCAGTGGAAGAGAGAGTGCTTTGGAAACTATAAAGCATTTAACACACTTTAGGTAAAGTTTTCTAAAATTAATCCTTCATGAAATGTAAGCATAGGAAAGGGAGAAAAAGTAAAATTCAGAATATTTGTTTAGTTGTGTTCTTAAAATAGACTGCATTAGTATCTGTATCATCTAAAACTGTGCGATCTATTACTTTTCTGAACAGGAGTTTTCATTGTATTTCCATTTAAATGCCCTTTCACTTAATGCCAGAATTCGTTCTATGTGTTTATTCTCACACATTGTCTGTTTGGATGGGTGTTCATTAAACTTCATGCCTGTGTTCAGTGATAGCTGGGCCTCGATGAGATCCCGTCAGGTGTTAAGCTTAGAGCACAAGCTGTTATTGTTTGCCTCCGGTAACCTGGCTAAGGGTGTCTGTCATTTAGGAGATAATGTTAGAAAGGGTGAATGTTGTCAGCGGGTGAGTTATTCATGACGAATAAATATCCAAGGAAAACGAAAATGTTTGTTTTTAAAGCAAATAAAGGGCATTGAGATCTGTTGACGTATTCTTTAAAAATAAATAAATAAATAAATAAATAACATTCTGCCGTTCTCACACATGGTGAATGTTCAAATAATGACCCTATCTCACAGAAGAGCATTAAGATGACATAGTGCCATACACAACTCGCTTATTAGCTCTTTAGTGAGAAAAAATACAACACCCTCACTTGTTATTGGAGTGCCAACTTCTCCATAAAAACACAAAATAGGAGGATAATCTGATGATTAATATATCAGATTTTTTTTAGTTTTTCATATAGAACCCTCGTGTATACCTTCCACCACCAAACACATGTGCTGCTTCCTGTCTTAAATGAGGAGAGGACTGTCTTCCTGATGAATTCCAACTCTTCTACCTTTAGTCTTGACTCTACTCCCCACGCCCCAATTCTGGAATCTGGCTTCTATGAGCATGGATCAAATCCCAAGATTTAAGCCTCAGTACCTGTGCTTGTAACCACCATATACTACTGCCTCTATAAATAACCCCTGGCCAGGCATGGTGGCTCACAGCTGTAATCCCAGCATTTTGGGAAGCTGAGGCAGAAGGATTCCTTTAAGCCAGGAGTTCAAGACCACTTTGGGAAACATAGGCAGACCCTATCACTACAAAAAAATAACATAAAATAAAAATCAATAGCCAGATGTGGTGGTGTGCACCTGTAGTCCCAACAACTCAGGACGCTGAGGTGGGAGGCTCACTGGAGCGCAGGAGTTCAAGGCTGCAGTGAGCTGTGATTGTGCCACTGCACTCCAGTCTGGGCAACAGAGCAAGCCCTGTTTCTTAAAAAATAATAAAAATAAAAATAAAAAATAAAGAACTTCTAATTGCTAAAGCATAGACAAATTGACAAAAGACATACATAGGTATCACACCTAAGAGGAAATAGAAAAGGCAACTAATAAACCTATAAAAAGATGCCCTACCACTATAGTGATCAGGATAATGCAAATAAACTCTAAATACCCAAATGTTGAGCAAAAGTTAAAAAGCTAATACCAAGGATTCCTATGGATGTGGAACAAACAATTAAAAATTTAGTATACTTTTGGCAGTAGTATAAATTGGTAAAACAATAACAATTTGGCAGTAGTAAGTGATATTGAAGCTGCACATATTATCCTGTTACATAGCTATGTTCCTCCTTTGTATGTTCTTTAGAAGAAATGCTTATCTGTGTGTCCAAGAGGTATAAGCAAAAATGTTCAAAGCAGAGAGTTTTGAAACACCCTGAAAATGGGTGTTTCCATAACACTGTTACCAAACACCATGGATTCAGTCTAGGTTCCCTTGCTTACCTCACGGAAAGCCAATCACTGAAACAATGAGTATTGCCAGGCTTTATTATATTATGGGTAACATCAGCCAGAGAGATGATAGTCAAACCTCAGCTCCATTCCTCCTCCCCAAGTAAAGGATTTATATAGATGGGAAGGAAAACAGGAAGGGAAAGGAAGAGAAGTTGGTCAACAGGCAGCAGGTGCTTGAATGAAGGGTCTAGTGTCTCATGGTAACCACATGAAGGAAAACAGGAATTAGGGAAGGGTAAGGAATAGGAATTGGTCAGCAGGCGACAGGTGCATCTGTAGGTGAAACTGTAGGTTTCTCAATCTTCAGTTCTATGGGCATCTGGCTTGTTGGAAAATTGGGCCAGTTTCAACACAAAAGGAGAGACAAGTATCAAACTTCACACGTGGTTTCTCTTCATAAGCACATTCTAGTTCCCAGCCTTGATCCTTGACTTCAGATTTGACTCTCCTTTGAGTTTTTTAAAGGAGTCATATATTCTATCCTTGCAATGAATAGATAAACTCCATTAAATAATCGGTGATATATTCAAACAAAGAAAATCATACATTAGTGAAATGCATTAACAAAAAAATTAAACAATCCAATTAGAAAATGGGCAAAAGATATAAAGAGACATTTCACTGAAAAGAATATACAGTTGGCAAAACAAAAACATGAAAAGGTTTTCAACATCAGTAGACATTAGAGGAATACAAGGTAAATCCACAGTGAGATATCACTACACGCCGACCAGAATAGTGAAAAAAATTTAAATGATAATAACGTCAATACCAAGTGCTTGGGAGGATATAGAGATACTGAATCATTATACATTGCTCCTGAGAATATAAAATGGTATAGAAACTCTGTAACAAAGGGTTTGGCAGTTTCTCAAAAACAAATAAACCAAAAACTAAACATGCAATACCATATAATCCAGCAGTTGCACTGATAGTTGTTTATCCCAGAGAAATGAAGACTTATGTTCACATGAATACCTGTACACAGATGTTTATAACAGCATTCTGTTAACTGTACTAGCCATTATCTAGCAACAACATTCTTTGTAACAGCCAATATCTAGAAACAACCCAGATGGCCTTCAGTGAGTGAATGGTTAAATAAATTGTGGTACATCCATACCATAGAATACCACTCAGCAATGAAAAAGAGCAAACTATTGCATGCAACAACCTGGATGAATCACTAAAAAATCAGATTGACTGAAAGATGAGGATTCCAAAAAGTGACTAATTTTTTGATTCCATTCATATGACATTTTTGAAATGACCGAATTCCTTCAGAAATAGATAACAGGCTGGGTGAGTGCAGTGGCTTACACCTGTACTCTCAGTGCTTTGGGAAGCTGGAGCAGGAAGACCACTTGGGCTCAGGATATCAAGGCTGCAGTGAGCTATGATCATGCCAATGCACTCTAGCCTCGGCAACAGAGTGAGACCCCATCTTTAAAAAAAATAAATGAAAATAAATAGATAACATATTAGGGATTGCAAAAAGTTAAGGAGGGAAATGGGATAGGAGAAAAGCAGGTACAGCTATTAGAGAGTAACATGAAGAATATTATCAATCCTTGTGGTAATTGAAATGTTTTGTATCTTGACTGTATTTGTGTCAATATCCTAGTTATGATATTGTACTCTAGTTTTGAAAGACATTACCATTGGGGGAACTGGATAAAAGATATTTTGAGATTGCTCCATATTATTTCTTAAAACTTCATGTGAATTCATAGTTATCTCACAATAAGAACTTTAAATAAAAATAATTATGTTAAATTTACATTCTAGTAGTGATTTAGTTTCATTTAGCTTTTATATAGCCAAAATTTACTTCCAATTTGTACAATGTAAAAGCATCTCCATCTTCTTTTTTATTTTTAATTTAACTTAATTTTAGTTGAAAAATAATATGCATATTCATGGGGTGCATAGTGATATTTTGATACATATAATATGTGGTGATCATGACATATGTTTAGATCTGTAAAATCTGTAGTCCACAATATCATCACAAAATGGACAAGAAAATAATCTTAGTCATTGACATTTCAGGTTTTAGTTAATTAGTAGCTTGCTCTGTGTCTGTTCCAAGCCATGTCACGTAATTACTACATGGATAACGTCCATGACTGCTTATAGTTTTTTGTCAGTTTTACCCTCATTTAAGCAATTCTTAAACATTTTCCAAATGTATTATTTTTGTACTTTATGCTTTTCATATTGCCTATATTATCCAATGTCAAGTTGTAGATTTAAGCTAGATTTAGTATGATAAATAGTTTTTGATATCTCACGCCCAAGTTTAGTATAGATTTTTTATTCACCTCATTGCAAACCACTCTGAATGAACCTCAAGGCGGTCTTCATGAACCTCAAGTCTAGAAAACAGTCATTTTTCTCACTACTTAAAACGTATAGATGAAATAATTTGTACTCTGGAATGAAGCTGTAGTCAGGCATTTCAAACCAAAAAACTTGGATAGTACAAGCCTAGGTCTTGACCTCTGAAAATCTAAATTAAATCTCTCAGCTAAGTGTGAACATTGTGCACTTCAGGGAATAACCTTGATAATGGACGCTAGGAAAGTAGAGGTAGACAGAAGCTAGTGAACAACTTCCTTCCTCCCTCCCTCCCCTCCTCCCCTCCCCTCCATCCATTCTTCCTTCCTTCCTTTTTTTTTTTTTTATCTTTATCAAGTGTTTAGTGAGGACCTACTTTAGGAAGAGTCAAGAATAAATGTTGCAAGGTAGTAGCAAATACATGATTAACTAATATTCTAGAAATTCCATTTAGCTTATTGGATAGTGCAGAATATACAGATTTAGACATCTACTATGTCAAAAACTGAATTTGTGTACAAGAACATAAATGAATCTTTTTGACATAAATGTTGCCTAGTAATATAGTTCATCTTGATAAGCTATATGACCATGTGGATTTTTTCCATTTTATTCACTCTTAATTGGGCATTTTTGGTAAATGTGCTATAATTTCTTTTTCAGAAAAATATTTTCACCAAATGCAGGATTATTATAATATGAAATCTGCGACTTTTTGAATGAGAAGACTTTAAATATCAGGCCATTCTCTTAGGCAGCAGTAAGTGAAAGAGTGGTTTTAAAATATTATGTAGCAATTGTCCACAATGATGTGTGACCCAATCCTGAAAATATAAAATTCAAGCTTTCGAGAAGATATTGTTCAGACTCCATGAGGTTGCCTTTTTTAGGTCAGCTAGGTAAAGATATGAAGAACACAAACTAAAATAGTTGGGTTTGTGAATACATATGCTTAGTTCCAAAAACTACCACTAGCAGCAGCAGCAGCAGCTAGCATTTCCCTGGTGCTCTCTAATACCAGTATTATCCAAACACAGCCTGGCTCGTAATGGGCAATTAATAAATGTTTGCTTAATGGAACAATTAATGGTACCTAAGTCTTATTCATCTCTTCCTATGAACTAAGCACTCTTCTAACTACATGATCTTATTTAATGTGCATAATAAGTGCAAAAAAGCTACCATGATCATACTTTATGCAGATCAGATAACTAAGTTACAGAGAACTCATTAACTTTTTAATGTTAGTAAGTGGTTGAGCTGGAGTACAACTCCAGACAGTCCAGTTCCAGGATCCGAGCGCTTAACTATCACCCCAGACTACCTGTCAAGGTTTAGGACTCAAAGGTTTACTAATTCCACACACAGCCTTTACCCAACATTTAGCAGGCAAACAACCAAGGGACACTAGTATTTTCCTAGAATTCTTTAAGCATAGCAGTGATTTGGAGCTTGGTAAGAGAAAATTTTAATTATAGAGCTATATTAAGTTCATGGATGGAAAAAATGTTGCAACTGCCAAAACTTTCTGATTAAATGTGTAAGCTGTTAAAAAATTAAAGTATAAGCCTTGTGGGACAACTGACTGTTCACTCATGGTTTTTCATATCTTTACATTGATCATTACTTAAGTAAATTGTATAACATGTAATGGTATTAAGAAGTTTATGGCTGGGTGCAGTGACTCACACCTGCAATCCCAGCACTTTGGGAGGCCAAGGTGGGTGGATCACCTGAATTCAGGAGTTCAAGACCAGCCTGGCCAACATGGTGAAACCCTGTCTCTACTAAAAATACAAAAATTAGCCAGGCATGGGCCTGTAATCCCAGCTACTCGGGAGGCTGAGGTGGGAGAATCACTTGAACTCGGGAGGTGGAGGTTGCAGTGAGCCGAAATCACGCCATTGCACTCCAGTCTGGGTGAAAGAGCGAAACTCGGTCTCAAATACATAAATACAAGTTTATAATATTATGTACTCTCTTAAATGACAGCAATGAGCTTTTAACCTCCATCAATTAAACTACTTAATCAATTGAAGGGGTACTGGAAAAACCCCATCAACCAGAAAGGAAAAGAATAAAGAAGTTTGTCACCTGTCAGGAATCTTGTATGGGGGCTGAAACGTCTCTGATATAACTAGAAAACCCAAATTTGTACAAGTGATTCAGTGGGGAATCCAAATGTATACTGTTGCATAATGAAGACATGATGAGCTAAGAAATTAGTATTAAAACAAATGTAGGACCCTGGAATCTTTCAGGTGGAACCTGTAGCCCTATAGTGAAGAATTGATAACTTAAACACACAGCCTCCTGCACATGATGAACTCATGGTGAAAAATGACAAACCAATGTAAGAGATAAGCCACCAGGAGGCAGAGTCTGCCAACCATAAAACAGAAGAATCATCATTTCACTACTGCTCCTGAGCTTGTGTCTTGCCATCTTTTTCCATGAAAATCCTGCTCATCTGTCAAGGGGATTAATTCTATGATTTACCTATCACTGTTTTCTCTCATAGTAATGTTAAGTGTAGACATTTCATGTGTTTAATAAATTAAAAGTTATTACTATGTAGATCAAACATTTTATTTTACAAAGAAAGAAAGAAAATTATTCCTATATGATGTATTTTATAACATAACTTTATTCTTAAAAATTGAATCTCTTTATGTAAAGAGATGGAAATCTTAGAAAAAAAATAATAGTTAACATCAATTGTGGAATACCTCCTATGTGTAAGGTTACCATCACATACATGATGTAACCCAGTTCTCTTAAAAATATTTTGAAACAGTTATCCTCGCATTTTACAAATGAAAAACTGAGACTCAAAGATTTTCAGTCTCTGACTTCATAGCCCTTGATAACGAAAAACTACTAAATAGTTTTGAGATTGAGGCACTATTAATGATTTGACCATGATTATATTGTGTAAAGTGTCTTTAACTTTTTATCATCTTGCAACATTATTTCAAATTTAGGTCTGAGATATTGGTAGATTTATGTTCTCAGAAAAAGCGCCCTAACCCTTCAACAGTAATACTCAGTTTAGTATACTTTTCCTGTGCTTCTTGCACCAATTTTCTGCTTTATACTAGATTGAATTTGAGAGATTTCCTTTATTTACAATTTTTGATTTATGCTTTGAAAACTATGTTTCCAATTTTAATTATTTTAATAGAAATAATTTAGATTACTTCTCTTTTAATCATGAAAAAAAAAGGATTTTAGGACAATTTAATTTATTACCTCCCAATCTTTTCCACCCATTTACCAGATTATTATTCTCTAGTTTCTCCTTGTTTTTCTGCACTGCCACATAGCCAGTGAGGTTTTTTTTAAATGATTTTAGGCTGTGTGTGGTGGCTTACACCTGTAATCCCAGTGCTTTGGGAGGCCGAGGCGAGTGGATCACAAGGTCAGGAGTTTGAGACCAGCCTGGCCAATATGGTGAAACACCATCTCTGGCGGGTACCTGTAGTCCCAGCCACTTGGGGGGCTGAGGCTGGAGAATCGCTTGAACCGAGGAAGCAGAGGTTGCAGTGAGCCGAGATCGCACTACTGCACTCCAGCCTGGGTGACAGAGTGAGACTCTGTCTCAAAAAAACAAAAACCAAAAAAAAAAAAACAATGATTTTTACCAATTGCATTCCTCATAATTGATTCTCCTTCCTTCTAAGATCAGTTTCCAAAAAACAAAAAAAAAAAGTTCAATTTCCTCTTAAATGTAGTAGATCATTTAGTAGTTTTATCAGTAAGGTTCTCTTAGTTATAGACTCTACAGAACTTTATATAATTATGTACTCTGTTTAATAATTAAAATTATGGATAAATAATTCCTACATATTTTCCAGAACGTTGTCGTAGTGGTAGCACATGGAACACACTAGAGGGGGGACAAGAAGTAAAATCCATTCAGGTGCAACTTAAAATTATTACAGAGCAATAACTGATAAGTCATTTTGTCACGAATAAGATACAACCTATGTGATAAATTTTAAAAAATATATTGTTAAGTAAGTGGTTTGTGACTCAGAATTGGGAAACCAAGGAAAGAGAGGCATAAAGATCCTAAGTTTTTTATTTGAGTTATTGGGGTAAAACTTAGGAAACTCAGGAAGATGATCAACCTAGTTTTGGAGAAGAAAATGATGAATTGGTTTTAGATTGCCATGTAATTTTAGTGCTTGTATGACATCTAGCATTTAATATGAATTGTACAGCTGTGTCCAGAAAGATGTTAAAGTTAGAGGTGAAAATTTGGTAGTTATTCTCAGAAATGTATTAGTGAAAGTTGGGAAAGGATGTAATAGTGACTTCACGGAGTGTAGGGGAAGGGAAAGGAGGGCTTTGTGAAAGCTGTTGATAATCAGCACTGTAGTCGGCATCGTCTGAGGCACTGATTCCCCCAAGAACTCTACAGGCTAGAAATTTCCTGGACACCAGGCTAGCAATTTCATGGAGTTTCTTGCAAAATTTATAAATGGCATAACTTTCTATATAAATATAAAAGAGAGTCATATTGTGCAACCCTTTACTACAGGCCAAAGACTACAGGTTTCATACTGATTACAGACAGGACCAAATGATCTTATTTTCCATAAAATCATCTGCATACCTTCTACTTGAACTCATAACACTTTTTTTCTGTAGAAATAATATTGTCAACCACGGTTTGTTTCACCTATTAGGCTATGAAGCCCTATTTAAACCATAATTTAGCTCTACTTTTGAAATTAAAACAATAGGTATAGAAAACATCTTTTTTGTTGTTGTTTAAACACCAAAACTATAATTCAATACATAGGACAGACAAAATAATCTTTAGTAGATACAATAATTTTTAAATGTGTTAAACTAGAGAAAACTAGAGCATACTAATAAAACACATCCATACAAAGGATTTATTTATTTGGGCGTTGACCATACCTTATCGAGATTAGTATAAGACTTGTATTCATTTCAATAAAGGTGGTTGCATAAACTTTTCCTAAAAATAGTTAATGATACTGTGATTCCCCCTTGTGAATTATTAGACAAAATCAATACTTTAAAGACATAATCCCTCTAATTTTTTATTTGTTGTTAAGATGATTTATCTTCATAAATAATGTGTTATTGTACTAGCTTAAGGCTAATTAAGTTAATTCACATATTTAAACTTGGTAAATGACAACCAATGTACTATTTCTGCATGTAGATCAAGCAGGAAAGCAAGACTTAAAAAAATAAGATATATTCAAATTATCAGATTATTTTAAAGTTGACTAATTTTTTAAAAATTCATAAATGTGCTCTTTTAAGAAATGGGTCTAGAGAATAGATGATTTCTATAGACTTCTAAAAGATCATTATTTTTTAAAAGACCCTAGGACAGCTTTCATATCAAAGAGAGACAATACCAAAATTGTATTAAGTGAAAAACCCTGCTTTGTAATACTGCCAATAGAAAGGGGTGTTCTCATGGTCTTTATAAAATCTCTAGACAGTAAATCTTTGTAAACAGCAGCCATCAGTTTTCTGTGTTGTTCACACGTGAATTCCAAATATTAAGAATACGGCTTGATAAATTTGGTAAAACTCAACCTTTTACTTAATGAAGTGGGCTTTTAAAGAAAAAAGTAGAAACTGAGTGAGGAAAGTTTTCGGATTTGTCTGTGGCTATAAACAAACTGCTTATATGTTAGTAAGAAAGTGCAGGTTGCTTGTTAACTAATTTGCCTAACTTCCAGGATAAACTGAAGTTCCTATTATCATGGATGTAGTTTGTGTTAGGTTTTTAGGATCTGGAGTTCTACTTAATTGTGTTTGAAGTAGGTTAGATTTAAAAGACAAAGCAAGGTAGTGGTTGTGCCAATTAAACTAAATGAGAGTTACAAGGAAGAGATCTGTTCCACAAATTATCTGAAAGTAACCCAGTTGAGAGAATCAGAGAAGCCACAAATCAGCATTTCCACAATATGTGATTTGTTGTTATCAGCCAGCACTATTCAATGTGGGAAGGGACTACCGAAGAGCACCACAGGCCAGAATAAATGAATATTGAGAGGCAGAGATTAAGGTCCATCTTGGAGGCTGATTGCCCCAGGGACATCCTGATAACAACTAGCAGCTTAATCTTCATTGATGTGAGTTCTAACCCTTCTCATCTGCTCAAATATATTCAGCAGCTCCTCATTGCCAGGTGGAAAAAAAAAAAGTCCAAACCTGTAATTCTTGTGTATCACTCTCAACAGTTTGGCAACAAAAGTCAACTTTTACAGCTATATCTCATACAGTACCTCTCTATTTACTATCCAGCTATGTTCTGGATTTTATTCCTGCTCTTCTGCTGAAGGACCTTGTTTACTTGATGCTCTTCTATTTCAAGTCTCACCCTCTCACTGCATCAGCAAATGAGCCTACAAACATCTTAAAAAGGTTTTCATCTATCATATTCCTTGCTTGAGTTATCATTTCTTTACTCTGCTTCCCTGCACAGGAAAACTTTTCAAAAACTTGCCATTCTTGCTCTTTCTTCTTTAATTTGTATTCACTGACCAATCCCTAAAACTCCGTAGAATCTGCTCTTGGGAAGGTCATCAGTTTCATCTCACCAACAGGTGATGAACACTTCGCTACCTGTCACCAAATTGCTTGACTGTTCAGTCACATTCAACAACTATGGCCAGCCCTTCTTGGAAGCCCTTTCTCTTTTTAGCTTATGGGATACCATACCTCCTTGGTTTTCCTCCCACTTTCCCAGCTTTTTATTCTTATCTCTTTTTCCATCTGTGTCTCTTCCAGTTTCTAAATACTGGATTACCTGAGGACTGGGTCTTTGCCTCCTTAATTTTTCTCTTCACATGGTCTCTCTGGGTCATTGTATCCTTTCATATAGCTATAAATGTCCACTGTTTTTTTCTTTAACTCCTATCAAACTGCCTAATCAATTGGATTTACAATAAATTTAGCATACCAAATTGAACTTTGATTTTGGTGGACATTTTTAAGTTTCCCTATTTTATAATACTTTCATGTGTATGTGACTTATCTTCCCCAAATTAGTTGTAAATACTTAAGAGTTTTTGAAATAGCATTTTGTATTTTTCAACTTGTTATGACATATACCAGGAGAGGGGACTATTTGGTACTTAATACTCATTGAATTCCATTAACATATCAATATGGCAAGACAAACCCTGTGAAATAAATTTGTTGCACAGCTTTAGGCAGTGAAACAAATTTACTCTTAAGTAAAGTTTTAATTAGCTTTACTAATTTACATAAGCAGAGATCTCTAAAGCTATATCTTAAGTCAGCGTATGTAATAGTTTTAAATGAATATGATATTGAGGGTCACATCAGCATTCCAGAATGCTTTCCTTAGACTGAGATCATTCATTTTTAGGTACACCTTGAGCAGCAGTTAATTGAGCGTAGTTTTAACTCACTAATTCAATACAATGTAAAGATCTCAATTCTCAGTGAGCTGAATGCATGTAACATGGTATGGATTACACTATGTGTCACATCATATAAATGTATGGTATAGTGAAACCATCATTTCCTTATTGTTCAACAAAGCTTTACTGAGTTAATGAGTGCCTACGGTGCACTGGGGTTACAACAGCAAACCACACATACACACGCACACACACACACATACACACACCTGCCCTCTGGATTAATTTCTCTAAAGGAAAACAAATTTATCTAAGAAAAGTCTTGACAAATTTTTTTAATATCGATGATCCCATATGAATATTTTCATCATAAAGTAAAGCCTTAGGATGAATGTAGATCAATTGACCTGTCTCTATCTATCTATCTATAGATATAGATATGTTGATAAATTATCATTATAGATTATCTGTGCCTAGGAAAGAGATATATTCAGTAAACTAGCTAGATAATAGATCAAATATGCACCATTCCCCCCCACGCCCCCAACAAATACACATTGCTTTCAAACATAAGCACCATGATTAAGATTTTAAACTAAAAATAATTTTAAAAAAAGATTATGTTTTTCAAGCTAATCTCTTTTTAGGTATGTTTTATATTTTTCTTGGGATTTCAGCATACGTTTTTTGGAGATTGAGATTAAGGTTTTATTCATCTTTAAATGAACTCCAACAGCCACTGCTATGCCTGACATGTAGTAACATTTTAAGGAATGTTTGTTTTTAGTGCCTTCCATGATGTCTAAATTGTTTACAATAACAGAGAATAATTTCAGGGTGGATGCTACACTGTTATGATCATATGATTTTCCTTAGATACATTTCTGATTACTAAAATAATTGCAAAATTAAGACATCATATTTTAATCATGAAATGTGATATGAAAGCTTATTTTCAAAGCCACATAGAAGAGATATCTCTTTATCTGCCAATGGAAAAAATATATATTTCAAATCTTAAGGTCAATAAATTGTGATTGTCTCTCAGTTAAACCCTTAAGCCTTTCATAATTTTTTCTATCCTTATAACCAACATCTTAGCTCAGGTTATCACATAGCAGTTTTGGGATTGGCCTCCTTTCATTCTAACTTCACATCTCTCTTAGTGCCTGGGACAGTGCCCTTTATCCACATTGCCTCCTTGAAAGCTATTCTGTCTATCCTGCCACAAAAATAGTAGTATGGTGGAGCACATACGTGATCATTTCACTATTCAAAATCATTTGGTGGTTTCCCATAACCACAGAGGATGAACTCAACCATTTCAGTATGCACACCCTTCTCCAGCTAACCGCCTTCCTTTCCACATCTCCATCCTTTGCCACCTGACTCCCACGTGATCTATATACCCTTGTCTTTTAATACCTTCATTTCCCTTAACTCATGATCCTTTACACTTTCCTGGTTTAAAACATGGTCCTCTTAAAATGATTTTCCTTATTCTCATTCTCCTTCTCCTCCTTCTTCTTCATCTTCTTTCTTTCTTTCTTTGTTTTGTTTGTTTTGTTTGTTTGTTTGAGACTGAGTCTCATTCTGTCACCCAGGCTGGAGTGCAGTGGCACGATCTCAGCTCACTGTAACCTCCACCTCCCGGGTTCAAGTGATTCTCCTGTATCAGCCCCCTGAGTAGCCATGACTACAGGTGCATGCCACCATGCCCAGCAAATTTAATTTTTTTGTTGTTGTTATTAGAGATGGGGTTGCACTGTCTCTACTAAAAAGAGTAGTTGGCCAGGCTGGTCTCAAACTCCTGGCCTCAGGTAGTCTGCTGGCCTCTGCCTCCCAAAGTGCTGGGATTACAGATGTGAGCCACCATGCCCGGCTGATTTTCCTTCTTTCAAATGGAAAAATCCTTTTACTCGTCAAATCCCATTCAGTATTACCGCTTCTCTGAAACATTCCAGCCCAAAACAGTGATCACTGCAATATATTCATACTTTAATTGTAGTAGTTGTAGTATTGTATTTTACAGCTATCTTTTCCAATAGACTCTGAACTCCTGAATAGTCGTCAACTTTTCTTATTCGTAAAGCTTAGAACCAGGCATGATAAATGTTTATTGAATGGATCAATAAACTAAATACTATCCTACTATTAGGAAAGGAAAAAAATAAAAAGAAGACATAAAGTGTCACTCACTGTCCTCTATTAAATAGAAAGATCAAAGTGTTATATGTAAAGTTTTGGTGCCGCAAAATAAATGGCACTGGAATATAAAATTTTCTTTTTAATTCTCAGCAAGGCAAGATACTTCTATAGAAGGTTGCACCCTTACAGAGGGAGCAGTGGAGCGCACACTTGGACAAGGGAGGGGAAGGGGTTCTTATGCCTGACACTCGTGGCCCCTGCTGCTCTGTCGTTCCCCTGTCGGCTAGGGTTAGACTGAGCAGGCTAAACTAATTATGATTGGCTCATTTAAAGAGAATGACGGGGTGAGTGGTTTGGCAGGAAAAATGTTTATGACAGAGCAGGTAATCGGAATGAGTCAGGGTGGAGTAGGTAATCGGAATGAGTCAGGGTGGAGCCGGTAATCGAAAAACGTTGCTGTATGAAGAAGTTAAGTTTAAAAGTAGAAGGCAAAGAATTGAACATACTGACATATTGATTCTTTGAAAAGAAATTTAGAACTTATATCTAACAAAAGTTATCTTCATAAGGAAAAACAATCATGTATTTGTTTCCATGGAATCACTATTCCCTACATCTAATATGAAAAACAGAGGAATAAGTTTTATCTTAAAGTCATGTCTATATTTAACTAATGCTCATCAGTGATTCATGCTCTGGGTAACAAGCCATTTAATCAAGTTGCAACTAGATAAGGAACATGTTATTTTTAAATCCTTATTATTGTGTCTTTTAGAGTCTTTTGTGCACATACCCTCTGCCTGGATCAGAGCTTTGTCTCCCATGCTGCAAAGCAATATTGTAAAATTTAAAAAATGCATTTGACTTACAGAAACTTCCAGGGATAGATACACAATAAATGCAGTGCACAGGGGTAGCAACGTCATCAGAGGCTCACAGCCTCCCTCAAATGGGCAACTCCAAAGTGGGGAAGGCTGTGAAACCATCCTCACCACTGGAATCAGAAGGGTGCATTTCATTTTTTATGGAAACAGGGCTACTTGTCTCTTTTGAGTTGCCATTCATTTTGACTTTGTTCACATAGACTTCCCTGAGTACCCTCTCTTACACTTGCAAAATGACTCTACCCTTGGTTGATCATGGGATTTGAATGATAAAGATGAATATTCCCAAGGATATGTGGGGCACAGAGTGTGGGGTAATGGGAGAGATCTTGCTCTGTAATCAGCCACCTTAAAGGGTTAGTGCCCCCTTCAAATCAGCCAAAACAACAATACCTGATGTCTTTTCCTGTCTCTGAAGATGCTTTTGATGCATCTGTTTGTGTGTGTATGTGTATGTGTGCATGTTTGTGCACACTTTCATCCTAGAATTTGTTAAATGCTATGTTTTAGAAACTCTGCCAGTGACACCAGGATTTGAACCCTGGCTTTCCAATGCGCTCTGATTCTAAGCACTGACATTCCAATGCTAGCTTTGGAGATGAATGGAGAAAGTCACTAACTTAAGTAGGGAATAACAAGTAACTGTGGGAAAAGATGGGCAATCTTAAAAGGGATTATTTATAATTTCTGGTTAGAGGCTGCAGTGAAGTAAGTATGAGGCATTACAGATACCAAGTCCTGTAATTACTGTGCCCCTAGATAATTATGCCCCAGTTAGAGAATGTTTAAAAGCTTTACACACTAAAGAGTATGAGAAACACATTTCATTATTGCAAATTTTGCTAAATGCATCAATAATTAATGGCTGCACTAGTCAACGTATCCCATATCTTCTAGTCATGTTAATAAGGTTAAAAACATCATTTGTGTTTTTCCCACTATCATAGTATTGGATTGTCAGCAGCTCATAAAGGTGATTTTTACAATTAATCGTCTTTCTCTCCACTTTTCAGAGGCAGATTGCTATTGCCTTTTTTCCCCTGGCCAGTAAAGGGTTAAACCCTCTACTTGAAAGACATGTTGAGAGTTTGGCTTAGATGCAGAGATTTTGAAGATCAGAGCCAAAGTGAGTGTGTTTGTGCCAAGAAGGATGGAAGGAGCATATGACTGGACCCATCTGTAGCAAATTGCCTTTGATGATGCAACAAAAAATAATTAAAACACAACAAAGAATAATGAATGATCCCAGTAATGAGCAGAATCCTCTGGAAGACTGATAAAGATGCTAGTGCAGAAAAACAGCATTTTTTCCAGGAAGACATTTTCAAAAGGAAACCACATTGATTTAACCTTTAGAAAGTCTTACTGCTTTTATTAGTTTCCATTTAAATCATGCTCTTTTCTAACCTCATGTTGGCATTACTAGTAGTTAGTAAAATTTTCTGTGAAGCCCTGAGATGGAATGCCACTTTGCAGTACCTTTGCAATTTTATGATCAATAAAATACCTTTGTGTCAGAACACAGTAATCAATGTATGAGAAATACATTTCAAACAAAACAATAACAAAGCTATTGGTGAGAAAATATCTTTTAGATGTTAAAAATGTCACATATAGAGAGTAAACACAGAAAAACATAGAGTAACCAGAAGACTTACAACATTTGCATCAGTCATGGTATAAAACCTGAAGGCTAGTTAGACAAAATGTAAGAGAGGATATAAGGATAGTAAAGATAATTATTACTCTGTATTGTTTGTGCATAGAGTAGTAATCGCTTTCTGGCCCCAGAGATACAGATTTAGAGTGAAATTGAACAAATGAGAATTGCATTTTTATACTTCATGATTAGATGTAGAATACCCTCGACCTATGGTTTGCTGGAACTATGTAAAGTAATTACTATATTATATCATTTTCTAAGCCAGATTTCACCTTCTGTCTAGAATTTTTTCCTGAAGTTTATTTTGTCTGAGTTTTCATTTCCCCCTCAATGGGGAAAGTTTTTGAAGCCTCACTAATTAGGCTGGAAATTTCAATGACAAAAAGTGCTAAATAATGATAGCATTTTCATTTTTGGCTCTTCTGTTTCAAGTATGCCTCCAAGAGAAGCAGTTTGGGCCTGCACTCTGTTTCTATCTCACTTCAGGGCAATCCCATCAGTAAGTAGGCTCTGGTATCTCTTGTACTGCTCATATCTACTGTTCTCCTACGAAGCGAGATTCTTAAGCCCTTGCAGTGCTCACCATAGATTTATGGCTTCCTGTCCTATGCTGTCAGGTTGGAGGATGCCTTTAGAATTGAAAGTCTGATATTAACCAAAAAATGTGCTAATTCCAATTTAGCAAGTTTTGGGAAGCCTAGCAATGGCTGTTTGAGGATCATCTAAATCTTATGTAGAAGATTTTGTCAGATTGCAATTTATATTGTTCCAACAAACAGATCTAGGATATTGTACACACCTACCACTCCATGGCAAAATGCAATCCTGTTTGCTCAGTTTGACTCTAAATTTGCTCTCTGTGGACCTGAAGTTATTACCAATCTATGAACAAATATTATAATGATGATTTCTACTATTTTTAAGGTAGACTATTTCCCCAATAATTAAGAAGCTTATTATTAAATAAATATTAAATAATATATTAAATGATAGGTAGATTAATCTGGTACAAAAATGCCCTCCCACCCCCCAGAAAAACATAAACCTACAATGAAGTGCTCTAAGTGAATGGTGATGGCAAAGTTTAAACAAAATACATTAAGCCGTGAGTCACTCTGTCTGCAAGCTATGTAGTACAGGTGATGCTCTGAGTGTCTATAGAAGAATGTAGGCACATGGAGAGGTTCCCGTGGCAGGTCATCATGTATGTCAAATGATGAGAGCACCCATTCAGCTTCCAGGAATGGGAGAGGAGAAATTAGGGGATTGAGTCCCTAGGAGGGAGGTCATGTGTTCCTTCCCTAAAACTGAAAAGAGACGTGTAAAATTGGCAGATTCATGTCACCCTGAAGCACTTCCTTCTGCTGTTCAAGAACAGCCAGGATGCAGCAGGGAGGCTGATTTCAATCTGCATACGGGCGGCCATCCTAACAATGAACACAGTTTGACATAGGAAGAGGCTGACTCAAATGTCACAAGACTAAATGGAGGTGATTATTTCATATGGATCATTTATGTTGGATGTTAATCTTACAGAGATGACATGTACAAATATCAATGCAACCTTAGAGATGGACATAGCATCTATAGTCGAAAATAAAACAGAAAAAAAGACTCAATTTGTTTTGAGTATCAGTTTAATGAAAAAAATTGAGCCAAGAGTTTGGAAATCTAGCTCATGTGTGTTTCTGCAATTATGCCACTTGTTCTTTGTTTTTCTTTATTTTTTTTTCTTTTGTTTTTTAGATAGAGTCTTGCTCTGTTGCCCAGCCAGGGTGGAGTGCAGTGGCACAATCTCAGCTTACTGCAACCTGCACCTTCCAGGTTCAAGCGATTCTCCTGCCTCAGCCTCTCGAGTAGCTGGGATTACAGGCACCCACCACCACGCTTAGCTCATTTTTGTATTTTTAGTAGAGATGGGGTTTCGCCATGTTGGCCAGTCTGGTCTCGATCTCCTGACTTCAAGTGATCCACCTGCCTCAGCCTCCCAAAGTTCTGGGATCACAGGCATGAGCCACCATGCCCAGCTGCTAATTATTCTTAAATGTAACCTTAACTAAGTTCAGTTCTAAAACAATATTTAAAAATAAAAATACTCACTTTTCTACACAAAAACATACACTAATATGAGATCTGCTTTTTTGCAGAGATATTTCAAAAATCAGAACTAAAGTAATTTTCAGTGTTACAATTAAAATATTACATAAATGTGTTCATTGCTTTTGTGACATGGACAATTCAGCATTGCCTGATTTGGTTTTCAGAAACTCCTCCAATTGTGTTTGGTGGTAAGAAATAATATTTTCTTTAAAAATCACATTTGTTTTTTTTCTCTAAGTCTTGATACAGCTTTTATCCAAAAGCAGTAGAATCCTGACCTGAATTTGCTTGGGAGCAGATACCAGTAACTGGATTAATATCAGGCACTAGAAAATTCTGAGTCTCTAGCTGACAAAAGGGTGGCTCTTTAAAACTGAATGTCAAAAGAACCAAAGAGTGAAATGGAAAAAAAAAATAAAAAATAAAGGCAACAAAGGAGAAAAGGATAGGATTACAACAGGGAGAACACTTTCCAAAAATCATATTCATGGTTGACATGAATTATTTTTGGATTTGCCTTTTAAAATATGATAGTTTTATATTTAATCAGATCATTAAAAAGTGCTTGGGGGCCATTTTTTCTCTTTTTGTCTTCCAGAGTGGCTTTCCAAGAGAGTGACAATCTGCCCTTTAGCAGCTATTAAATGACAATGTGAAGTAAACCCAAGCCCTTTTTATTAGGCTTTAAAAATTCGTCTTTTCCTTATTAGCCTTAATAATAGAGTTTTGGCTATTGCTTTTGACATTTTACCTTAGTTTGGTCTTAATGTATTATTTGTGATTTCCCCTTCTTCCCTTTATTCATCATCAGTGAGTCAGCCCTGTGGAAAAAATGGTCTCCAGTGACTATTAAGGAATAGTAGCATTGAATATGTTCTGGTAGAAGGGTGTAAGTGTGTGTGGAAGTATATACGTGTGTGTGTGTATGTATACATGGATCCATACCCACACATCTGTCTGTGACTGTCTTTTCTTTTCTTTCCTTTTCTTTTCTTCCTTTTAAACCAAAGGCTGACAAGTGTGCATTACAGGGAGGATGTAACTGTTCTCGATGGGCTGCAGAGAACTGCAAGGGCAGAGCGAAGTGAGGGACAGTGTACCTGTTCTCTGTTGCATTAAGGGAGTTCAGTGCATTCTCCTGAGATGTTTAAAACCGGAGAGGGAAGTAAGAGGGAAAAGAATTCCAGCCCGCGTTTGACTCCATTTCTTGATAGAACAAATAGTTTTAGCATGGAAACGTCTGTGGTCCTGGGAGTTGTGGAGGAGGACGATTGAATTGTTAAAAATTAAAATAAGGGTGATTATTTGTCCTTAGAGTCTCCTTCGAACCACAGGCTACCAGCTCATTCATTAGTCTTGCCTCCTGCCCAAATCCCAGAGCACTAATCTAATCCATGACAAATTAAAGCATACATGTATATTTTTCCTTAGTTTTATTTTTCTTCATCTCTCTCCCAAAACATTTCACTGGAAAGAAAATAAGATGAGGGATGCTATTGTTTAAACAATTATTATTTATATTTTAGAAAAATATTTTTAACAGTCTTATTAATGAGTGTTGACATATGAATATATATCAGCAAAATGTTAATGTCTTCCATATGCCAAGCATCATGTTAGAAGCTTTAAATCCTTGATTTCCAATCCTCACAATAGCCTGCTTGGTAAATGTGACAGTTTTCATGTTTCAGAATGAGGAAAATGGGGTACTTAGTGGTTAAAACATGTCAAATAAATAGAGAGCTGGATTATTTCTGTTACACTCCATTGAGTTCAAAATAAAGTAAATATAGATGAATGGAGTTTGAGAATAGTGAAAGAGTTCAGTTCATTTGTCACTTACCATGAAGTTTAAGGGATGGAAAATACCTGCAGAAAGCATGAATTTTTTTCCCATTCAGCACTTATGAAAGACATCACTAATCAGTCATGATATATATATGTAATTTTTCCTACTAGCCACATGCAGTTTTAAAATTTTCAAGCTTTGGCTGGGCACGGTGGCTCACGCTTGTAATCCCAGCACTTTGGGAGGTTGAGGTGGGTGAATCATTTGAGGTCAGGAGTTTGAGACCAACCTGGCCAACATGGTAAAACCCTGTCTCTACTAAAAACACAAAAAATTAGCTGGGCATGGTGGGGCATGCCTGTAGTCCCAGCTTCTTGGGAGGCTGAGGCAAGAGAATCACTTGAACCTGGGAGGTAGAGGTTGCAGTGAGCCGAGATCGTGCCACTGCACTCCAGCCTGGGCTCCATCTCAAAACAAACAAACAAAAACATTCAGGCTTTGATAAATGAAAATAAATTCTGGCATCTTAAGTCTATGGGTAGGATTTTATATATATTTTTTTCCTTTTAAATGTGGTCTCATAACACTTTTCTAATTAGCTTCCTCTTTTCGATTATATAAATGTGTGTTGTATGTGCATGTCTATATTTGCAGTTTCTTTTCCGTAATGACTGTCGCTATGAAGAATGTCGATGCTGACACCTAAGTCAGTGCACTACAATTTGCTTAATTTTTACATGAATTTTCTCTTAACCAGTTTTATCGCTTAGTTTTATATTTTATATTCTAGTTCCTCCATTTTTAATCCTTAGAACAAGGATATGAATTAATAAAAGCAATATTTTTTCTTTCTATATGGCATCCTTGTTCTTTGTAAATGTCTTACCATTTATTGCTGAGTAATTAATCCACTATTCATGGGCATTTGGGTCTCAGTCCTCTTGCCCAAGGCTTTAAGGGACATACACAGCTCTTTCATAATATTAAACCTTAATGAGCATGGCTATCATATTTTTATATACGTAATAAATTGAGAGGCTAAACCAAATCAAAATTTTATTTTTAATTCTCACCCTGGTGTTTCAGCAGTTAAAATGTCCAGATAATAGATTATAGAGTGAGTATTGTTATTGCCATTTTAAAGAGAAATATGACAATTGCCTAACACTGGCTTAAACCATGTCTCGCAGATGGCCTCTTGTTAATTTAGCTCTCTAGTTCCTAGTAGTGGATGGTAGCACGGACATCAAATTCAAACAAATCTGGGTTCAATCTCTTAAATTTCCTGCAATGTATTTTTGGCTTCATCCCCTAAGTAGTCTGATCCTCAATTTCCTTATTTGTAAAATGGATAAATAATAGGGCTTCTAGGGGTTATTATTGGCGTTATATAGACTGTGTGTAAGATCCTAGTATAGTTACATCTATTTTGGGGTTAATATTATTATAATTTATATATAGAACATACCTACATGAGGGCTAAAAGAGTCCCAATCATTTTGCAGTTTACTGAGCATCTTCTGTGTAGGATGCATCTTTGATAGAGGAACACAGAGATTTAAGACATGGAATTTGCCTTGAATGCAATCCCAGTGAGAAGCTTATGTATGTTGCATATCACTGTATACACATGAGTGCAGCCTAAATCTCAAATTGCATACACTAATTTCCTGAGCTAGAAGCATCAAGAGCTGTAAATACTTTGCCTTTCTTACCTGTCCAGAATCTGTGATCAGCATCAACGTTCCCACCTTGTGGACAGAATAAAGAACAGTTTGACCCAGCGTCACTTTCCTCTGCTGCCTTAGTTTCTCCTTGGGGTGGGCAGGGAGGCTTTGGGAGGTGAGGCGTTGGCAATTAGGAGATGGGTGGATGATCTCCAAGCGTTTCACCGAGATTTCACGGCAAGCTCCACGTTTAATTAATTTCATCAAAGGTTTTCCTTCTTTATGAAGCTCATGCATAGGTTTATCTGACTTCTCTTTTTTCTTTTCTTAGACCTGAACCTTGGAAACTGCTTCAGAAAAGTCTTCTTCACCTGAAATTGTTCTGATCTGATTCTGAAATCTTTAACTCTGAAATTTTAATCCCTGAATACGATCTTCTGCCATTTTATTTCTCAAATGACTTTTCTATCTCATGGTAACCCCAAATTCCCCTTATTCTCCTAATCTCTGCCTCTTCTTTTCCTTCATAAACACCACCATCCTCACCACCACAGGAACTACTGAGTGCTTCCAGGTCCAGATGCTCTCCAAAATCCTTCACATATATTATCTCTTTTAATGATCACAACCTTATGGTTTAGGTGCTAAAGTTCACACACCCCTATCCAGAAACTCTTTCAATCATTTGAAATGTCAAAAATTTGAAAAAAAAATCAGGTAATAGAAAAGTTACATTATTTAAACCGCAAGCATACTGAAATGTTTAAAGTTTACGTATAAGTTAATCCCATTTTGTATTTTCAGAATAAGATGAAATTAGCTGTAGACTCTTTTAGATTTGCATAAAATCTATTCCAGAGAAATAACCATAAATTCAAAGTCTAAAAAGCTCTGAAGCTCTTTAAAAAAATTGTAACTCACTTGCCATCAAATTTGACAAAAACTGACATGAGCCTATCTGTAGTCTGAATTTATTCCATTGAACATAAATAGCCATATATTTTACTTTGGAAGTATTCCTGTATGTTATTATGGAACTGCTATTACAAACTTACTGGGCTATTACACCTAGTATATGGTATGTGTACTATAAGAACTTTCTAAAGTTTAAGCAATTCTAAATTTAAAAACACACTTGACGACAAAGGCTTGCATTAAGGGACTGTAAATATGTATTACTGTTATCTTCACGTTACAACTGAGGAAAACAAAGCCAGAATAAATTGAGTGACTTGTCCAAAGTCACATACTAATGTAATGTGTAATGTGTAATGTGACTGGGAGTCAAATAGAGTCACTT
This sequence comes from Homo sapiens, assembly GCF_000001405.40. NCBI lineage: Eukaryota > Metazoa > Chordata > Mammalia > Primates > Hominidae > Homo > Homo sapiens. The sequence goes on from NC_000010.11 coordinate 19,429,287, forward strand.
AGGCCGGGCGTGGTGGCTCACACCTGTAATCCCAGCACTTCAGGAGGCCGAGACAGGTGGATTGCCTGAGGTCAGGAGTTTAAGACCAGCCTGGTGGTGAAACCCCATCTCTACTAAAAATACAAAAATGAGCCGGGCGTGGTGGTGCACACCTGTGATCCCAGCTACTCAGAAGGCTGAAGCTGGAGGATCACGTGAACCCGGGAGGTGGAGGTTGCGGTGAGCCGAGGCCATGCCATTGTACCCCAGCCTGGGCAACAGAGTGAGATTCCATCTCAAAATAAAACAAAACAAAACAAATAGAGTCACTTGGTACTCAGAGCCTGTGTCCAGTTGCTGCTAAGCCTGTGGGTATTTTTGATACCTGCTATAGCCCCCAATATTCTCAGCCCTATCCTAGATATTTTACCCCCATACGTTCAATTATCTTCATCTAATTTCTAGTTCTTGATATTGATCTCATATTGATCAGTTCCATTAATGAATTTATGATATCTAATGTCAACTTGATCTTCAATGTGACCCTTCAATTCTCCCGCTTATTCCAAGGCCATGCCTACTCTCAGGCTTCTGAGCTTCACCTCCCCAAATTCCCTACCATCTTTAAGATTCCTGCCCTGACTCATCCCACAAATCCTTGTCATAGACGCTTTCAGAATATGGCCAATGTACCCAGTCATTACTTCTTAAGGTCTTTAACTCACTATTGATGTTCTCAACATCTCAGACTATTCGAGATTCCCATAATATTCAGACACTTCCATACTCCAGTGCCTTCAATCATGCCGCTTCTTGGTTTCTTTGCTTGGAATTTCTCCATTTTCCTTTTTTTTTTTTTTTTTTTTTGAGATGGAGGCTCACTCTGTTGCCCAGGCTGGAGTGCAGTGGCACAGTCTTGGCTCACTGCAAGCTTTGCCTCCTGGGTTCATGCCATTCTTCTGCCTGAGCCTCCCAAGTAGCTGGGACTACAGGCACCCACCACCATGCCCGGCTAATTTTGTTTTTGTATTTTTAGTAGACATGGGGCTTCACTGTGTTAGCCAGGATGGTCTTGATTTGACCTCGTGATCCACCCACCTCGGCCTCCCAAAGCGCTGGGATTACAGGCATGAGCCACCATGCCCCGGCCTCCTCATTTTCTTTATGCTCTTGCTGGTATCCTGTTCACCTTCCGAGGCCCATTTCAAGTGCTACACACTTTATATTACACCTTGCTAATTTCATACAGGTCCTTCATTTCACTGATAGCCCACTAAAGTACTCTCCCTTTTTGCTATAATATAATAAAATTTGCTCACACACAAGTATAATCATTACATGTTTTCCTTGCCTTTTATCTGTGAGCTCCTTAAATCATGTATTCTTATGTTCCCATGTGACACCCAGCTCTATTGGCACATAAAAGACACTTAATATTAATTGGATTTGAATGAAAATTTGACCTTAATGTGGATTGTATCTGTGCAGGTTTCATTATGTGTCCTCACCTGCGCTAAGGAGTATTAAAATGTATTGAGCAAGTTAAATATGCCTTGTTCGAATTTGTGTAAAACAAGCATAAATTTAAGTTGTGTTTCTATTATTTTAACATTTTACCAGCAAATAGAAGGGTGCCTAATGTAGACTTGATGCGCCATATATGAGTTGAGTAAGTAAGAAAAAAATAAATTTATCATGTTGGGATTCTAATCTTTAGTTAATAAGCCATTTTTTAATTTTAATTTTTATTTCAAGTTCTGGTGTACATGTGCAGGATGTGAAGGTTTGTTACATAGATAAATGTGTGCCATGGTAGTTTGCTGTGCCTATCAACCCATCACGTATGTATTAAGCCCATCATATATTAGCTATTTTTCCTAACTCTCTCCCTCCCCTGACCCCATGAACAGTAAACCAATTTTTATCCCACTTAATTCCCATCCTGCATGAATTGATGGCTAGACTTCTCTCTTCTGTTATAGACTTAATTCTTCATTTAATGCTTTGTTGTTTTAGCGTAAGGTTCATTTTTTAGGTTTATACTTCTTTTTTTTCAGTATATCTTTCTAATTCATTAGTATAGTTTGAGAGTAAAAGTTTGGGTATTTTGACTTGTATATTGTTAAGGAAATACAAAATAGCTTTTCTATTTTGGAGAATCCAGCAATTTATTCAAGCAGAAAATTATCCGATTCCCTTATATGTATACAGTATAGACTTTTATGAGTAGTAACATATTTCTATATTTTATTTTTATGTACTGTTAGATAGTATTGGTTTTCAGAAAATTTCACGTTGAACATTTTGCTTTTAGCACTCCTCAAAAGACTTTTATTCATTTATACCCAATGTATGCAAGTGTTCTCTGGGAAGAGAAATTGGTACAAGCATCTTGGCTTGGAATTTGTTGTTCCTTTATACACAGTTGCTGTTTCACATGCATACATTTGTTTTATTTTCTCTCTCATTATTCCCCACCCCTCAGGGAAGACAAGTGAGCTGAGTTATGTCCAATAATTTTGCCATAAAGTACTGTTCTTCTGTTTGCATTGAATGGTTATCAACCTTCATGAACGACAATGTGCCACGGGACAGATACAATCATTCATAACTGACACGTTGCTTTTGACCTTGCTGCCTTTACTTATTACTCCTCCTGTCAGGTGCTTCCTAAGGCCTTTTCATTTTTTATTTTTTTCCCAGTGTTCTTCTACGTTCTACCATATGAATTTTTTTTTCTCCTTCAGGAACCAAATATAGTGTGAAAGACAGTGAAAATCAGCCATCAACCACTAAGTGGGAAATCATCTTGAATGTCATGGATTGGGGTTTTAATTAGGTTAGTGAGCCTTTTCTATACAGAGAGTATAGTAAGGACCTGGCATGAGTCATTCTGAATATAACTTTGTTAGAGCAATGAGCAACATTGGCTATTGTCTGTTATAGACAATGCTTACTCTTTTTTGTGTTACGTAAGATTGAGAACAATGATAGTATGCCTCAGGAATATCACCTATGTAAATGAAACAATTCACTGTTTAGGAAAAACACCCTTTGGTGAATTTTGAAATGTTTATTTTACATTTGTGCAATTTAGTTATGCAATTTAAACTAATTAAGATTATTTTTTACCTATATCAGAGAAAGAATCTGAAATCTATTAGTTGGATAGGGAAGTTTTGAGTCAACTTTTAGCCAGTGGTTACAGTTCCATGAAATGCCTTAATTCATTCAGTTGAAATTAATTGATTAAATAAACACTTATTTAGTGCCTTCACAATGCTCTGTTTTAGGCATGGGAAATCCAGAAATGAATGAAGTGGAGAAAGGGCTTGTCCTCATGAATCTTAAATTGTGATAGGAAGACAGACAATGAACAAATATGATTTTGATAAGAGAAGTGAAAGGTGCTATAAAAAAGCAAGTTGATTCAACATGAATAAGAATGGAGCCCATTTTGAAAGTTCTGAAAAGGCTTCTCCAAAGTGATATTTGAAGAGAAAAAGCCAATCACTAAATATTGCTTTTCTGTAATTCCAATGATTGCATTCCTGATATGTTTTCTCTTTCTCCCCCAAACTTGCAATATCCAAAGGCTACTGTGAACATTTCAAAGAGGAAACTGAATAACTTTGGATGCTTTATAATAAACACATTTTAAAATTACATTCTTTACATTCCATGCACACTCATTATCTCTTACGTAATACACTTGTAATGCGTCTGCACACATATATGTATATATAGATACAGCTATTCCACTTGCAGTTATTTATTGAACACTTACTATGTGCAGGGCACTGTGTTAGGTACTCCTTATCAGATTTTGCCTATCATTATATTATTTTTATCTAATCAAAGAGACAGATATTTATCAGGTTATCATACCAGGGAAAACTGTATATAAGTATAGTAAGTGCTAAGAAGGAGAAGTATATCCTGCTCGCAGAGTGTATGGCAGGGAGGCATGCCTTTGTTGAGGGGGTCAGTGAAGGCTCCCATGAGGACGTGATTCCGCTGAAATGTGTAGAAATCAAGGAGGTTGAAATGGGGAAAGACAAAGAGTATTTCCTGTAAATGTCCTGAGATGGGAGGGATCTTGGGTAATTGGAAGACTCTTTGAAAGGGAATGTGTGACTGGAGCAGGAGTGAGGAGAAGCATGACAGGAAATGAAGTTGGGCAGAGGGCCTCTGAGCCCTTCTAACATGACAGCCTCTTAGTGTCATATTTTGGTATCAATTTCATAAGATCACTTGATAAGTCAAATTTTGGTCAACAGTCATGTCAGTTAGATGGCTTATTGGACATGCTTTAGGACATTGTGAAAAGTTTTTAACTCCATTAACTATATTGAAGATCTAGAGGCAGCTGTCAGATGTTGCTTTATTAACTTCCAATCATGAGCATAGCAGAAAATGATCATTTGAACATGGAGAAAAAAAAATGAACACCTGTGTGGAGAATACAAAGGCTCAGTGAAAGTCATGCATGGGAACTGTGACCACTGTGTAGACAGACAGGGGCAAATAATGGCCAGGGTGAGAATGTGTTTTCTATGTCCATAGGAAGACCCTTGAAGGACCTTTGCCAGCAGTTATATGGCAAACACACACACACACACACGCGCACACACACACAGGGATATTTATATCATATTTATGTGTTTGTGGGAATGAAAGAGAAACTACACTGTCTATCATATATAATATAAATGAGTTTATGGTTCTGTAATTGGAAACCCTGGAAAACAGAGAAAGACTGGTATGGTAAAAACGAAAATGATTACTAAGTATGCTTTCTACCTCTTCAGCTCCTTTGATCTTCATAATTTGCATTAAAATTCCTCCTTCACCTTTGAGTCACATATTGCCCCAAATCTTCAAAGAAAAATGTCAGTAAATAAATATTTCAGATTTAAAGAACACTATTCTAGCAAAGAATGGGAGGACATTCTGTCTGTTTAAAACGATTTTATAAAATGTATGTCTAAAATTACACATATCTATCCAATGTGTATATTGATCTAACCTTCATAATTATTCTCTCAGGGAAGAAAATTTTCTGTAAATGCAAGAGCCACTGACACAGGTATTTCTCCAAGAATAATAGCTGTTTGCAAGATATTTCTGTAGATGAGATTTTATGTAAATTTAAAATAGTCTACAATGATTTCATTTTATTTTTAAAAATTCAAAATATAATTAACATATATATAAACTTTAAACATTTCAAAATGTTTGCAGTTTAAAGAATATAACTTTTCTATTACTCAATTTTTTCCAAATTTTAATATTTTACATGATTTAAAGAATTATATATATTAATCTAGATTCACATATTATTCTACATTCAAGCCACTCCTTTCCATTTTTTTAAAGATATTTAAAAATATTTTATTGTAACTATGGAGGATTTTAATACCAGAAAACCATCTACGTAGCTTGAAATATTTTTATGTTCTAGTCTTTTTCTGAGGCAAAAGATAAATCTGGGTCTTCATGGCAGTGATTAGGGCCACACATGTATAAAATGATTTTTCTTTTGTTGTTGATTAGATTCAAAAGGATTCCTATATGGTCCTGAATCTTTTTATTTATTATTTGCATGGTCTGCCTTAAACATAGCTTAAGGTTTAATTGATAAAATATGAAAAAAATTAACAACAAAATAATTATTGGACATACCAGACACAAAAAGAAAGTTTTATTTAATTAAAATATTGAAAGCTATGCTCTATTATATTAAAAATGAATAAAGGTCAGACAGTTCTTACAGTTATTAATTGTTCTGACTTTGTCAGATGCAATTTGATAAATTCTCATTACATGTGGGAATTATACAAAAATATACATAATATATTTTATAATATATATTTTATTTTATAATATCCTATTTATATATAGAGAGAGCAGCTTTGCAGCTTTTACAAATTTATTTAATTAACTGCCTTATTTTAGAACAGTTTCAGATTGAGGTAATTATTGCAAAGATAGTACAGGGAGTTCCTGTATACCTCACACTCATTTTCCCCTGTTATTAACATCTTACATTAGAATAGTACATTTGTCACAATTGATGAACCAATATTGTCCGCTGTTAGTAACTGAGTCCATACCTTATCCAGATTTCCTTGGTTTTAGACTAATGTCATTTTCTGTTGTAGTACTCAGGCCTTCCTAGCCTCCTGCTGGTTGTGACAGTTTCCCAGTCTTTTCCTGTTTTTGGTGATCATGAGAGTTTTAAGGCATACTGATCAGGTATTTTTTAGAATGCCCATTAATTGGTATTTAATCTGATGCTTTTTTTAAAATGAATAGATTGGGGTAATATGTTGGAGAATAAGACCACAGAAGTCCCATTGTTATCACATCATGTCAAGAGTCCGTAGTATCAAAATGCAAGGTCATGGTTGATAGTAACTTTAATCACCAGACTTGATAAAGTTGTCAAGTTCCTTCCCATATCCCTGGAAAGTTGCTGTCCCTTATTTCCTTACTGTGCTTTTCAGAAGAAATCCACTGTGTGCAGCCCACGCTCAAGGAGTGAGAAATCATGGTCCACCTCCGTAAGGGTGGAGTATCTATGTAAATCATTTAGAATTCTTTAGCATGGGATATTTATCTATTCTCCCATTTATTTCTTTATTCAACCATTTATTTATATTAGTATGGGCTCATTCATATTTATCTTGTAATGTGGGTTATAATTCAATAGTACTCTATTTGTTTTGTTGCTCAAGTTGTTCCAGCTTTGGGCACAGCTCTCAGCACCTGTATCACCTGATGTATCCCCGTTATTGTGGGAATTTATTTATTTAACCACTTTCTGACTTCAGCCCTACAAGATGTCCCAGGCTCTTGTAGATTGCAAGACCAAGTCCTAGAATCAGCCATTTCTCCAAAGACCACTGGTGCTTTTGTTGGAGAATAATACTAGAAGCGACAACTGAGCACTGTGTTGCTTGCTGGGCTTCTCAGCTGACAGAGCTAAGAGACCTGAGTCTATGTAGAGATCCGTGAATATACACATATCTATAAATATTTGTATATGCAATCATCTGTATCTAAATTGATCTAAATACAATTTTATATTATTTCCAACTACAGTCTATTACCACAGGGATCATTCCAGTCTTCTCCATTAGCTTAACTGTAATCTTTCACTCCAACAGTGAGAAACCTGGTTTCTATATAACATTCCATTAAAATGGTTCCATCCCCTAACCATTTAATTAGTCATTTAATTTTTGTAGACATGGATAGTGCTTTCAGAATTGTAGACCTATACCCCTGTAGAAAACAGCTTTAGTAACCAGAGTACAGTGCTTACGTGCAGTTCCTTTTCCCTTTAGTTTTACAGACTCCATCTCATTTCCCCATTTTCCTAGGTCAATATCTTATTTCCACTCATCCGTCTATGAGGTTTTTTCATACATTTGTAATACATTTGCATTGATTGGTCAGATTCTGCATTTCTTCCTGGCATACTTCAAAACTCCTAAATGATCTTTTTAAATGGCTTACTTTTAATGGCATAACATGCTGTTAAGTTGTATGAGTTTTGACAAATGCTTAGTATCTTGAGCTTAGCATTACAGTATTATACAGAAAAGTGTCACTGCTCTAAAGAAATCCCCTGTTGCTCACCTATTCAGTTATCTTCCCATACTCCTGGACCACTGACAGTCACTGATAGCTTTATCATCTCTATACTTTTGGGTTTTCTAGAATATTATGACAATTACATTTAGGAGGAGTATTTGAGGGGGAATATAATGATTCTTCAAACACTGAAAGTGCAACAAATATTAGCAAAACGAGTGTGATTTTTTTGTAGACAGGATTCTGTAGCAGAAGAAAATGACAAACACTCCAAAAGGACAAGGCCACAATACAGAGCTTAAATCTTTGTAGTTAACAGATAAATGATATGATGGCTTGGGTATTGGTCCTAAGATCACCTGTTTTGTCTCTTTGTTCTTCGTTTTATTTTGTTTCTTCTTTTTATTTATTTATGTTTTCTTTGTTTTTGTTTGTTTGTTCCACTGCTTTGTATATTTAATGTTTCAGTTGCGAGGGCCCTGACACTGATATGATTTTCTTTCTTTGTAAGTAAATAACTTCCAATTTCTGGAAGCTTGTGACATTTTCTCTTAAACTTGGAGTTTAGAAATGTCACCAGGACGTGTTTCAATCTTAACATTTTGAATTGTTCTTCAGCCCAGAAATTGTCTTTTATTATTATTATTATTTTTTGTTATTGTTTCTCCTCAATCTGTTTCTCTCTGGAACTCACCTTTGGATCTAGATTTCCTGAATCCATTCACATTGCTTGTCTTTTCACTCACAATATTCATTTTTTGCATTTTGCTTACTAGTGTTAATAATAAATTTTATTTGAATATAACATCAACAACTAATGTTATATACTAATGCTAGCTGCTGATAAGGGCTGAGCTTAATTTTAGACCTGGCAGTCTACCTTCAGAGCCTAGAGGCCCATCGATACAGTAATACATGCTGTATTTTGAGATAACCTCACTTATTTCAGATCACATATTTGGCTTCTAGAAATCTCAATTCTATTATTCATTTAAGCTTTTTTTCTGAAATAATTTTGTCTTAATAGACCCAGTTCTTTACATCCTCAAATTGCCCCATTCCAAGTCCTTCCTTACAATTTTTGGTAGTTTCTTTTTGAGAACGTGTCTTTCTCTGCTATTAAATATGCCTTGGTAGAAGTCCCTGCCGTGAGTTTTAGATTTTTTTATTTTAAATTGTGGTAAAGTCTATTTAAGAGCTCTTTTCATCTTGCAAAACTGAAATTCTGTACCCATTACACTCTAACTCTTCTTTCTTCCCTCCCCCAACCCTTAAAAACCACCATTTCACTTTCTGTCTCTGTGTTTCTTTTTTTACTCTAGGTGTCTTATATAAGTGGAATCATGGAGTATTTGTCTTTTCGTCACTACCCTACTCTGCACAATAGAAATATAAATATGTCCTCAAATATAAAAATGTCCTCAAAGTACACACATGTTGTAACATGTGTCAGAATTGGCTTTTTAAGGCTGAATAATATTCCATTTTATGTATATACCACATTACATAATGGATTATATGTACCACATATCCATTCATTCATGGATACACATGTAGATTGCTTCCATATTTTGCTATTGCAAATAATGTTGTTATTAACATGGGCTTACAACTATATCTCTTCAAGTCTCTGCCTTCAATTACTTACCCAGAAACGTAATTGATGGATCACATAGTAATTCCATTTTTAGTTTCCTATAGAACCTCCATACTGTTTTCTACAGTGACTGTACCATTCTACATTCTTACCAACGTGCACAAGAATTCCTATTTCTTTGCCTCTTCACCAACACTTGTTATTTTGTTTTATAGTAGCCATGTCAGTGTGTGTGAAATAGACTTGGTGTGATTTTGATGGTTTACTTTAGTGTTCATACAAGCTATTGGGTTCTCTTGAGTGGTGAGTGACTTTTTTTCTTGTGCCCACCAGACCCCACAGCTCAGACAGACAAGCCTTCTTCTTTGTAGACTGCAGTGTGAATAATGTTCAGTAAAAATGTTTTCCACAGGATCTATCCCAGGCTCTTCTGAACTCATTGCCTGCAGCATGGGTACCGTTCATCCAAGATTCACTGGCAACCGATGCTTTTTCTTGAATCCGCTGGCTGTTTACTATCATAGTTATGTGTCTCCATCAGGGAACTAGGAGCATGATGAGGTCATAGATATGTTTACAAGATGCTAATTTCCTCAAAATTCTCACAGATTATACTTGAAAACTACCAATCTGTTGCATTTTAATTTGTAATTGTTTTTTAAAAATTATAATTTTAATTAAAATTTAATTTAAAAATTACATAAAATAGCCATTATTATGTTCATTGTTAAACATTGTTCTGAAAGATTAAGGCAATGTACAAATAAAGTTAAAAGAGAGAAGAAGCTGGGCATGGTGGCTCTTGCCTGCAGTTCCAGCACTTTGGGAAGCCAAGGCAGGAGGATAGCTTGAGCCCATTAGTTTAAAACCAGCCTGGGCAACATAGTAAGGCCCGGTCTCTGCACAAAAATAAATTTTAAAAATATTCACTGATTGTAGTGGCGCATCCCTGCAGTCCTGATGGTGGGAGGCTGAGGCAGGAGGATCACTTATGCCTGGGAGGTCAGAGGCTGTAGTGAGCTAGAGTCACACCACTGCACGCTAGGCTGGGCAACAAAGCAAGACCCTGTCTCAAAAAAAAAGTGGGGGATAAATATTAGCAAGGAGTAAATAAAACCGGTGCAGGAACAATATAATTAAAAGTCAAAGTATTTAGAGTGCAGTACATTAGCTATACAACTATACTAATTAGCTGAAAATACAGTTTTATTTCTTTATTTTAATGTATTTAGTGTGTGTATATATAGATATAAATAATAAGTATATAATATGTGGACTATTGTTTTGAATGTGTCATATTTTTCACTTTGTATTGTGTGTATTTTATTTTACTTTTTATCCTCCTTCCCCACTCCATTTCCCTTTTACTCCATAGGCAACCTTTCTAATGTATATTCTTTGGTCGTATACATTTTATAATACGTGTGCTATTACTTCGAGTGTGTCAAAACTTACATTTTGTTTATTACATTTTCCCCTTCTTTCTATGTCTTAAAGATCCATCTTGGCTTTGATGTATACATCCAGTCCATTGCTTCTCCCTGCTGCAAAACATTTCCTGGGGCGTACTCATCACACTTTAGGTGTCCATCTTACCACTGTCTGATTGCCAACAAGCCTGAGCATCTCCCTTTATGCTTGTTGAGCTGTTGTCTCCTGTAAATTGTTTAAAAAGATCTCTTTCACATTTTTCTGTTTTTCTGTCATTTTCGCATTGACTTCGGGAGAGTTCTGTTTATATACTAGTTTTTAGTCCATAGTCTACTTATGTTTCAATTTGTATTATGGTAAAGCTTATTGCTATTCTGTTTCATATTTTTTCAAGTTTTGCATTTTATTTTTGTTCTTATGAGGGTTTTTATCTATAGCTTAAAACCCATTCTTTTTTTTTATATTACACTTTAAGTTCTAGGGTACATGTGCACAACATACAGGTGTGTTACATATGTATACATGTGTCATGTTGGTGTGCTGCACTCATTAACTCATCATTTACATTAGGTATTTCTCCTAATACTATCCCTCCCCCCGCAACAACCCCACAACAGGACCCGATGTGTGATGTTCCCCACCCTGTGTCCAAGTGTTCTCATTGTTCAATTCCCACCTATGAGTGGGAACATGCGGTGTTTGGTTTTCTATTCTTGCGATAGTTTTCTGAGAATGATGGTTTCCAGCTTCATCCATGTCCCTACAAAGGACATGGACTCATCCTTTTTTATCACTGCATAGTATTCCATGGTGTATATGTGCCACATTTTCTTAATCCAGTCTATCATTGATGGACATTTGGGTTGGTTCCAGGTCTTTGCTATTGTGAATAGTGCCGCAATAAACATACGTGTGCATGTGTCTTTATAGCAGCATGATTTATAATTCTTTGGGTACATACCCAGTAATAGGATGGCTGGGTCAAATGGTATTTCTAGTTCTAGATCCTTGAGGAATCACCACACTGACTTCCACAATGGTTGAACTAGTTTACAGTCCCACCAACAGTGTAAAAGTGTTCCTTTTTCTCTAGATCCTCTCCAGCACCTGTTGTTTCCTGACTTTTTAATGATCTCCATTCTAACTGGTGTGAGATGGTATCCCATTGTGGTTTTGATTTGCATTTCTCTGATGGCCAGTGATGATGAGCATTTTTTCATATGTCTGTTGGCTGCATAAATGTCTTCTTTTGAGAAGTGTCTGTTCATATCCTTTGCCCACTTTTTGATGGGGTTGTTTGATTTTTTCTTGTAAATTTAAGTTCTTTGTAGATTCTGGATATTAGTCCTTTGTAAGATGGGTAGATTGTAAAAATTTTCTCCCATTCTGTAGATTGCCTGTTCACTCTGATGGTAGTTTCTTTTGCTGTGCAGAAGCTCTTTCATTTAATTAGATCCCATTTGTCAATTTTGGCTTTTGTTGCCATTGTTTTTGGTGTTTTAGTCATGAAGTCCTTTCCCATGCCTATGTCCTGAATGGTATTGCCTAGGTTTTCTTCTAGGATTTTTATGGTTATAGGTCTAACATTTACGTCTTTAATCCATCTTGAATTAATTTTCGTATAAGGTGTGAGGAAGGGCTCCACTTTCAGCTTTCTACATATGGCTAGCCAGTTTCCCCAGCACCATTTATTAAATAGGGAATCCTTCTAGTTTTTGTCAGGTTTGTCAAAGATCAGATGGTTGTAGATGTGTGGTATTATTTCTAAGGTTTCTGTTCTGTTCCATTGGTCTATATCTGTTTTTTGGTACCAGTTCCATGCTATTTGGGTTACTGTAGCCTTGTAGTATAGTTTGAAGTCAGGTAGCATGATGCCTCCAGCTTTGTTCTTTCGGCTTAGGATTGTCTTGACAATGTGGGCTCTTTTTTGGTTCCATATGAACTTTAAAGTAGTTTTTTTCCAATTCTGTGAAGAAAGTCATTGGTAGCTTGGTGGGGATAACATTGAATCTATAAATTACCTTGGGCAGTATGGCCATTTTCACAATATTGATTCTTCCTATCCATGAGCATGGAATGTTCTTCCATTTGTTTGTGTCCTCTTTTATTTCATTGAGCATTGGTTTGTAGTTCTCCGTGAAGAAGTCCTTCACAAACCTTGTAAGTTGGATTCCTAGGTATTTTATTCTCTTTGAAGCAATTGTGAATGGGAGTTCACTCATGATTTGGCTCTCTGTTAGTCTGTTATTGGTGTATAGGAATGGTTGTGATTTTTGCACATTGATTTTGTACCCTGAGATTTTGCTGAAGTTGCTTATCAGCTTAAGGAGATTTGGGGCTGAGACGATGGGGTTTTCTAAATATACAATCATGTCATCTGCAAACAGGGACAATTTGACTTCCTTTTTTCCTAATTGAATACCCTTTATTTCTTTCTCCTGTCTGATTGCCAGCATCATGTTGAATAGGAGTGGTGAGAGAGGGCATCCCTGTCTTGTGCCAGTTTTCAAAGGGAATGCTTCCAGTGTTTGCTCATTCAGTATGATATTGGCTGTGGGTTTGTTATAAACAGCTCTTATTATTTTGAGATACATCCCATCAATACCTAATTTATTGAGAGTTTTTAGCAGGAAGGGCTGTTGAATTTTGTCAAAGGCCTTTTTTGCATCTATTGAGATAATCATGTGGTTTTTGTCTTTGGTTCTGTTTATATGCTGGATTATGTTTATTGATTTTTGTATGTTGGACCAGCCTTGCATCCCAGGGATGAAGCCCACTTGATCATGGTGGATAAGCTTTTTGATGTGCCGCTGGGTTCGTTTTGCCAGTATTTTATTGAGGATTTTTGCATCGAGGTTCATCAGAGATATTTTTCTAAAATTCTCTTTTTTTGCTGTGTCTCTGCCAGGCTTTGGTATCAGGATGATGCTGGCCTCATACAATGAGTTAGGGAGGATTCCCTCTTTCTCTCTTGATTGGAATAGTTTCAGAAGGAATGATACCAGCTCCTCTTTGTACCTCTGGTAGAATTAGGCTGTGAATCCATCTCGTCCTGGACTTTTTTTGGTTGGTAAGCTATTAATTATTGCCTCAATTTCAGAGCCTGATATTGACCTATTCAGGGATTCAACTTCTTCCTGGTTTAGTCTGGGAGAGTGTATGTGTCGAGGAATTTATCCATTTCTTCTAGATTTTCTAGTTTATTTGCATAGAGGTGTTTATAGTATTCTCTGATGGTAGTTTGTATTTCTGTGGGATCGGTGGTGATATCCCCTTTATCATTTTTTTATTGCATCTATTTGATTCTTCTCTCTTTTCTTCTTTATTAGTCTTGCTAGTGGTCTATCAACTTTGTTGATCTTTTCAAAAAATCAGCTCCTGGATTCATTGATTTTTTGAAGGGTTTTATTGTGTTTCTATCTCCTTCAGTTCTGCTCTGATCATAGTTATTTCTTGCCTTCTGCTAGCTTTTGAATGTGTTTGCTCTTGCTTCTTTAGTTCTTTTAATTGCAATGTTAGGGTGTCAATTTTAGATCTTTCCTGCTTTCTCTTGTGGGCATTTAGTGCTATAAATTTCCCTCTACACACTGCTTTAAATGTGTCCCAGAGATTCTGCTATGTGTTGTCTTTGCTCTCATTGGTTTCAAAGAACATCTTTATTTCTGCTTTCATTTTGTTATGTACTCAGTAGTCATTCAGGAGCAGGTTGTTCAGTTTCCATGTAGTTGAGCGGTTTTGAGTGAGTTTCTTAATCCTGAGTTCTAGTTTGATTGCACTGTGGTCTGTGAGACAGTTTGTTATAATTTCTGTTCTTTTACATTTGCTGAGGAGTTCTTTACTTCCAACTATGTGGTCAGTTTTGGAATAAGTGTGATGTGGTGCTGAGAAGAATGTATATTCTGTTGATTTGGGATGGAGAGTTCTGTACATGTCTATTACATCCACTTGGTGCACAGCTGAGTTCAAGTCCTGGATATCCTTGTTAACTTTCTGTCTCGTGGATCTGTCTAATGTTGACAGTGGGATGTTATTATTGTGTGGGAGTCTAAGTCTCTTTGTAGGTCTCTAAGGACTTGCTTTATGAATCTGGGTGCTCCTGTATTGGGTGCATATATATTTAGAATAGTTAGCCCTTCTTGTTGAACTGATCCCTTTATCGTTATGTAATGGCCCTCTTTGTCTCTTTTGATCTCTGTTGGTTTAAATTCTGTTTTATCAGAGACTAGGATTGCAACCCCTGCTTTTTTTTATTTTCCATTTGCTTGGTAGATCTTCCTCCATCCCTTTATTTTGAGCCTATGTGTGTCTCTGCACATAAGATGGGTCTCCTCAATACAGCACACTGATGGGTCTTGACTCTTTATCCAATTTGCCAGTCTGTGTCTTTTAATTGGAACATTGAGCCCATTTACATTTAAGGTTAATATTGTTATGTGTGAATTTGATCCTGTCATTATGATGTTAGCTGGTTATTTTGCTCGTTAGTTGATGCAGTTTCTTCCTAGCATCGATGGTCTTTACAATTTGGCATGTTTTTGCAGTGCCTGGTACCAGTCGTTCTTTCCATGTTTATTGCTTCCTTCAGGAGCTATTGTAAGGCAGGCTTGGTGGTGACAAAATCTCTCCGCATTTGCTTGTCTGTAAAGGATTTTATTTCTCTTTCACTTATGAAGCTTAGTTTGGCTGGATATGAAATTCTGGGTTGAAAATTATTTTCTTTAAGAATGTTGAATATTGGCCCTCACTCTCTTCTGGCTTGTAGACTTTCTGTGGAAAGATCCATTGTTAATCTGATGGGCATCCCTTTCGTGGGTAACCCAACCTTTCTCTCTGGCTGCCCTTAACATTTTTTCCTTCATTTCAACTTTGGTGTATCTGACAATTATGTGTCTTGGAGTTGCTCTTCTCAAGGAGTATCTTTGTGGCATTCTCTGTATCTCCTGAATTTGAATGTTGGCCTGCCTTGCTAGGTTGGGGAAGTTCTGGATAATATCCTGCAGAGTATTTTCCAACTTGGTTCCATTCTCCCCATCACTTTCAGGTACACCAATCAGATGTAGATTTGGTCTTTTCACATAGTCCCATATTTCTTGGAGGCTTTGTTCATTTCTTTTTACTCTTTTTTCTCTAACCTTGTTTTCTTGCTTCATTGCATTCATTTGATCTTCAGTCACTGATACCCTTTCTTCCAGTTGATTGAATCGGCTACTGAAGCTTGTGCATGTATCACATAGCTCTCGTGCCATGATTTTCAGCTCCACCAGGTCATTTAAGGTCTTATTTATGCTGTTTTTTCTAGTTAGCCTTTCATCTAATCTTTTTTCAAGGTTTTTAGCTTCTTTGCAATGCGTTCGAACATCCTCCTTTAGCCCGGAGAAGTTTGTTGTTACCAATCGTCTGAAGCTTACTTCTGTCAATTTGTCAAAGTTATTCTCCATCCACCTTTGTTCCGTTGCTGACTAGGAGCTGCGTTCCTTTGGAGGAGAAGAGACACTCTGATTTTTAGAATTTTCAGCTTTTCTGCTCTGGTTTCTCCCCATCTTTGTGGTTTTATCTACCTTTGGTCTTTGATGATGGTGACATACAGATGGGGTTTTGGTGTGGATGTCCTTTCTGTTTGTTAGTTTTCCTTCTAACAGTCAGGACCCTCAGCTGCAGGTTTGCTGGAGGTCTACTCCAGACCCTGTTTACCTGGGTATCACCAGTGGAGGCTGCAGAACAGCAAATATTGCAGAATGGCAAATGGTGCTGCCTGATCGTTCCTCTGGAATCTTTGTCTCAGAGGGGCACCCAGCTGTGTGAGGTGTCACCCTACTGGGAGGTGTCTCCCACTTAGGCTACTTGGGCTCAGAGACCCACTTGAGGAGGCAGTCTGTCTGTTCTCAGATCTCAAACTCCGTGCTGGGAGAACCACTACTGTCTTCAAAGCTGTCAGACAGGGACGTTTAAGTCTGCAAAAGTTTCTGCTGCCTTTTGTTCAGCTATGCCCTGCCCCTAGAGGTGGAGTCTACAGAGGCAGGTAGGCCTCCTTGAGCTGTGGTGGGCTCCACCCAGATTGAGCTTCCTGGTCGCTTTGTTTACCTACTCAAGCCTCAGCGGTGGTGGATGCCCCTCCTTCAGCCTCTCAGTTCAATCTCAGACTGCTGTGCTAGCCATGAGTGAGGCTCTGTGGGCGTGGGACCCTCCGAGCCAGGCGTGGGATATAATTTCCTGGTGTGCCATTTGCTAAGACCATTGGAAAAGTGCAGTATTAGCATGGGAGTGTCCTGATTTTCCATGTACCGTCTGTCATGGCTTCCCTTGGCTAGGAAATGGAATTCCCCAGTCGCTTGTGGTTCCCGTGTGAGGTGATGCCCCACCCTGCTTCAGCTTACACTCTGTGGGCTGCACCCACTGTCCAACAAGCCCCAGTGAGTTGAACCCAGTACCTCAGTTGGAAATGCAGAAAAATACATTCTTGTATTTATTTACCCTTATTAAATACTAAAAACTCTAGAAATAGATAAAGATGTCAATTGGAAAAAAGAGAGGTATTATTTAAATGGTTTAAAAAAATGGCTAGTTATTTGGGAAAAAGTTGTATATTCACTTCAAACATATGAAATGGAACTTCCAAGGAGATCTGTCTATTAATATGTTTGTACAATTTGAAGTGGTTCTGTCTTTGTAGTGTTTCTTATTGCCTTTCTTTGCACAGCCCATAAAGGAAAGACTGGCATAAAGTATGAAGACAAACACACTATAAAATAAATATGCAATTTGCAAGACAAAAGTTCCATGCATATACTATATGTGAGGAATCAATTCAAAATTTGGAAAAAGGTTAAATTATGAGAAGAAAATAATTCTTCAATATCTCTAACCATTTTTGTATTAGTGTCTATTTTTTACTCTTATTAATGTGGTTAATCACTTTTCACATGCTTATATCCTCTGGGTATTGAGATTAAAATCTGTATATATACAAGGGAAAAGTCCCTCAGCAGTGGCAAAATTATGAGTTAGGAGTGAGCAGTTTTTCACTTTCACAATTTAGAATGAATTTAAATCAGGATATTAAGTAAATAGGTGAAGTAACGACATATGTGGAATAAAAATTTGGGAATTGACTACATAATCACTTTTTAAAAAGTTTCTCTGTTAGGAACACACACACACACACACACATACACAGACACACACACACACACACACACACACACACACAGAGCATGAGCAAGACTGAGAGTGCTTTTACAGTAGTTTATTTTTATGACTTTTTCTCCTGTATTAAATTAGTACGTCTCCAGGTAGGCTCCATGTCTTTTCACCTTTTTGTCCCTGGCATCTAACATAGTACCTGGCACTGTGTGAGCACAGAAAGTTTGCTGAATAAAGGAATGAATGAATGGATAAGGAAATAAACCTCCATTCCACATTTAGATGAGTATTTTTGTTAGTTATAGGGATAACATTTGATATTATGAAACAACAGCTAGTATAGTAGAATGATGTCTTATAGTACATCACCATTAGGTTGATCCATGATTCGTTTGCAAAATAATTTACCCATTTTTTTTTCTAACACATAAAATGACAGTGAATGCATTATTTGTCTCTTTTTTTACTAGAAGACAAGTTGTAAGATTTAAGAAATGATTCGCATTTTTTGATTAGCGTGATCGTATGCTCTTCTTTGATGGTATTTGTTGAAAATTCTTTGGGGATTTGCCAT
Organism: Homo sapiens; assembly: GCF_000001405.40. Lineage (NCBI taxonomy): Eukaryota > Metazoa > Chordata > Mammalia > Primates > Hominidae > Homo > Homo sapiens. The sequence continues at coordinate 19,447,610 of NC_000010.11, forward strand.
ACCTAATGAGTGGCTTTATAAACTGCAGAGGCAGATAAATAGGAAAAGTTAGTAAAGTGAATTAAGTTTGTAAATCAAGACAGGCTTTTGTCAATATCCAGCCTGTAATATTGCTAGGAGTCAGATAGACCACCCTTTCCTTTAATTTTTAATTTAATTAACCATCCCTTTGATTTCAAATCACTAAGACATCACTGAGAGTCAAAGACTAACCTTGAGAAGGACTTATCTTCTTTAGTCATCAAAAAGATACGAAATTCCATTAATTAGGTGTGAATTCTCCACCCCTTTCAATACAGAAGTTACATGAATCTGTGGGTGTCAGATTTGTTGTTGTTTTGTCAAGGATGTTAATGATCTATCTATAAACTGTTAGTTGTTTTGCAAAGTTAATTTTAGATTAACTGATGCATAGTTGTGCTCTCGGTAACCATGGAGAGGAAGAACCACTTGATCAAACATCTTCATCTACCTCAGCAGAACAAGACATCAGACATATTTATTAGCATTAGTTCCCTGAAAACACGAAGTTATGAATGTCCAGCTCCTTGGTAGCCCCTCTTCAGACATTCCTTTTTTTTCCTCTTTAGCTTTTATTCTTTAAATTATGTGTAAATTACACATTTCATACCTATATGCTATAAATCTATTGGAACATTTTGCTTCCCTTCTGTATGTCATTTCCCTAAATCTTCTCTAGTCTACTTTTTTGATTACAAGCTTTAGAGACAAAGTTTTTCTTGTGAATCATCATGAAAATGCAATGACCCAGGACCAAGGAATATTAACTGGGAACTAACCATAAACATAATAGTGTGTATATATGTATATTTTTTTCTTTGCCAAATATCCATCATTATGATTTGTTAAATCATCTAGTTCCCAGAAAGGGCTAGACCTAGAATAACAAAGAATAGTGTATACAATCTCAGCCTTGTCCTGTGCTCAACTGGTTAATATGCTGTTTTAATGAAGTTGTCATTTTTATTCGGTCATTGGGATTATATGTCATTTTATGTCATGTTACCTTGTACTGGGACTGTTCATGTATTAGAATATTGTATTACTAGTTAACCACCCTCAGCTATCCATGTTTACATAAGATTTTTAGAAAATTAATTTTATCTTTTCAATTAAAAAATTTTATGTAAAAACAATCATAGTTGTTACTTATATAATAATTACATTATAACAGAATTTATGAAAATCAAAATAATATGATTATATAATAATATAATTTTTGGAATCTGTTGTTAAAATTATCACTTTTCCTCCTAACTGAATTCACTTCATAAATCCTTTATTACATCCATCAGGGATAAGTGATTTCTCCAACATGTTTCTCCTTTTCTCTTTTCCTCTGTCAGTGATTTAAGCTTTTTGTAAGAAGCTACAACCTGAATAATTACACAATATGAGTAGAAGTTTGGATAGCTAATTACATCTGGAACTAGAAACCCAAGGCCTCAGTAAATTGTTCAGTTTTCATCAAATATAAATAATTTGTGTAAATGCAAGGAAAGGTAGATTTTACTGAGTAGGGCAATTTGTTTTATTTTAGTTTAGTTTATTTATTTATTTATTTTGAGGCAGAGTCTCACTCTGTTGCCAGGCTGGAGTGCAGTGGCGCGATCTCAGCTCACTGCAACGCCTGCCTCCTGGGTTCAAGTGATTCTCCTGCCTCAGTCTCCCAAGTAGCTGGGACTACTGGCGTGTGCCACCACGCCCGGCTAATGTTTGTATTTTTAGTAGAGATGGGGTTTCACCATATTGGCCAAGATGGTCTCAATCTCTTGATCTTGTGATCCGAGTAGAGCAATTTATAATAATGGTGTCTCTAAAAATTCCAAAATACGTGTGTTGCGAATTCTGCTAGTTTTTATTTTGGGAAATATTTTAGTAGATTAATATGCCTCTGTTTTGGTGAGATAAACTATGTCATAGTTATCATCAGAGATGTTGAAGTCAAATAAAATATAGATAAAAATCTCTAAAAATTTTTTTGAGGGAAGCAAGAATTGCAATTTGGGGCATATATACAGACCCGGTGGTCTTCAGTATATCTGAAGAACAAAGAGAAGATTGGAGGTTTTATAAAAGAGAAATGTAAAAATAACTATTTGGTACTATGCTTAGTACCTGGTTGACAAAATAATCTGTACATCAAACCTCCATGACAGGAGTTTGCCTGTATAGCAAACCTGCACACGTACCCCTGAACCTAAAATAAAAGTTTTTGAGGGGAGGGGGAAGAAAAAAGAAATGTTCCATATTATTGTGAAAGAAAATTCATTGGCACTAGTAAAGTTGTGCAGAGCTGGAAAGCTCTAACTGGTGCATGATGGGTAAAACTAGTTTTAGAGTCTCAGCAGATTGTTTCAGTATCTGTCAGATACAACTAATTTCAGGTTACAGCTGTCAGTTTCAGGAGCCAGGTTTGTAGAGAATTATATTTTTGGAGCAGTATTACGAGCCCTTAGTGCTTTCCCCGACCCCTGACCTCTTGAGTCTTTTTGAGTTGGGTTTGACAAGAATGACTCAATTTGTAAGATCACCTTTCACAGATTCAGTGCTTCTTTGTTTTTTCAGTTTTTATTGGTCAAATGCTTCTGAGATAAATAACTGGGTTTTGCCCCACACTGCATCATCTTCTTTTGTGTTTGATTATTTCCCTCATACAAACTTCTTTACTTTCAGACAGAGAAAGGACTATCAAAAGTATGGCAAGAAAGTAAGCAGAACCCTGGTAATCATTGGCAAAAGGCTGACATCCTGCTAGGAAAGTTAAGGAATTTTGAAGTCATATTTCAAGGTATCAGAACAAGGGACCTGGGAGGAGGAGCTGCAATTGATGATATTGAATTTAAAAACTGCACAACTGGTAAGTTTCCAGAAAGCACTTCCATTTGGAAGCACATTTTTAATCTAGCCATTTTATTTTTGTTACACAAGTTTACAATGCTTTACTGTTATGTATTTTGTACACATACACAAATCAATGGAAAGGTATAATTTTATAATTGTGAACTTAAAACTGTATGTTGAGATAATACCTATCTTAGTCTGTTTGGGCTGCTGTTACAAAATGCCATAAGCTGGGTAGCATATAAACAACAGAAATTTTTTTCCCTGTGGTTCTGGAGGCTGGGAAGTCCAAGATCAAGACAGGCAGATTTGGTATCTGGTGAAGGCTCATTTGCTGGTTAATAGATGGCACCTTCTTGCTGTGTCTTCACTTGGTGGAGTCCAAGTGGAGCCCTTATAAAATGAGCTCCCTTGGGCCTATTTTATAAGGGCACTAATCCCATTCATGAGGGCTCTGCCCTCATGACCTAGTCATCTTCCTGAAGACCCCATCTCTGGACACTATCACCTTTGGGTTTAGGATTTCAACATATGAATGAAGGGAGGAGAATAAACAGTCAGACCATAGCGATATCTTCTTCATCTTTCAGTTGCACAAGTAACACCTCTCTTCCTTCCGTACCATCCGCTTTCTAACATGGATAATTTTTCCCTTCTGAATTTGTTTTTCAACACAATTTTAAATGTGAGCCTAATATTTACATGTATTTACCTAATTTAAACTAATTATAAATGAACCAGTAAAAACAGGTTAGAAATCTGGTAGTAAGTGCATCTATAAGAAATAAATTCAATCAGGCAAAATTGAAGCAGAAATTGAGCTGAGAGCTGTGCTTGGGAGATTTAAAGATGCTACTCCAGCCTGTGAACAGTAACTTGAAAAAAAAGTACCGCCATTTATCATGTTTCTAAATGAGAAGTATAACTACACTTAGATTCTCTTTACAAAACTACCCAGAAAATGTCAAAAATAATTATAAATACATTTGTACAATTTCACAGTTTGCAAGGTTCTTTCAGAGGAATTATTCCATTTGGTTTCCAAAATAATCCTGTGTGAGATATACTGCCAGTGAAAGATATGCCTTCTGTGGTTTTCTATACTGATTCACTTGGCAGCAAGTCCCCGCGACTAAAAGAGCTAAACCTGAATGCTGTTTAATTTTATTGTTGCTCTCATATTAAAATATCATTTCACTGAGGCAGTTCAAAAATGTGACTTTGGTTTTTTTGTAGTGTTACAGCATCTGCTCTTTTTATGAGTGGTACTGTTTCAAAAGATTCTACTTAGAAATACATTCTTTAAACTTCGAATTCCCTCTCCTCCAACCTATGTTTCCAGAAAAGGTGGTTGTTACTCAGCTACCTTATGTTAAATAAAATCAGAAATTATGTGTTTCATACCATGTAAGGAGCATGTAGCTCCAGGTATCTATGTCATGCAGGAGACAGGATTTGGGCTTCAAGATGCTGGAGAGAGTGTCTTAATGAAAGAAGATGAGGTTTTGCACATGTATTTGTGTAAAGGGAATCTTAGACATGAGAATATGCTTCTTGAACTCTCTCCTAGTAACTTTCCAAGTAATATGTTGAAATTCTATTATGGTTAGTAACTCAATCTAGAAATGATTCTGGCAACTTGAAAAGGAAAAATTCTTCAAAACTTTCTCTAAGATTTTAGAAAGAAAGCTTTATTCAATAAGAGAAATTCCTTTCCTCTCAAGGGAAGCAGAATGATTCCTAGATGGGTTGATTCAGGACAGAAGGAAACTGAGAGTTATTATTCTAGCTTTGCTAGTCTCATGTAGAAGTCTGCACTCTTTCTTCCCTTTTTCGTAATAGAGTTCTGTGAGAGTTTACGTGATTACAATTAATTTTGTTCAATTGAAGCCAACACTTGGCTTACTAAGTTATACTTTAATATCTTACGTTTAGTGATCAACTGCTTTTAGGCCTATAGTTCTTTCTTTTTCATTAAGTAAAGAGGCATCATGTTGTCAATTATAGTTGAATATAGTAAATTACACATTTAATACATTTTCAGAAAAAGTAGCCATTGGTTTTTAACAGCCCAGCCATCTACAATTAACAAGGATTTTCAAATTGTTTTTCAGTTAAGATAGAAAACATGAAAAAATTATGAGAAAGTTTGAAAGACTATGAATGGAACTAAACAACATTCTTTTTAATCATCTTAGTGTTTAGCTTTATGCAGGTGAAATATCAGGTCTGTGTAACATGGATGATCAGAAGGAGCTTAGAGTGTAAGTTACACTAAGTTGCTTTCTGCAGTTGCCACTTCAGATGGTGAGAATGGTATTTAGCAAAACACGTCAAAGTCAGAAAGGCACTTTATCATAGTGGTTAAGAACAAGGAGCCTTGAGTCAAACTATGTGGGCATGGCATCTGGCTGTGTCATCTGGCTCAGGTAAGTTTCTTCATTTCGCTTTGCGTCGGTTTCCTCATCAATAAAATTGAGAAGATGAAAATAGTATTTTCATCATACGTTTACATGAATATTAAATACGTTAAAATATGTGAAGTTCTTTGAACAGTCTTGGCACATAGAAAAATTAATGTTACATTTTATTATTACAGTGGTCATCATTATTATTAACATGCCATATTCTCAAATGATGCTTTATTGCCCTGTATTAGGAAACCAACTTCAGATCATAAACTACCAGGTCACCACACAATTTATCATGAAGTTGTTGATGTTCTGCATGTGAAATAACTTAAAAAATGACTGAATGTTTATTTCTGTCACATTTTACTGATCATAAAACATCCCCACATATTGTATGCTACCATTGATATGAAATGTACAGAACAGACAAATGTATAGAGACAGAGAGGAGGTGAGTGGTTACTTAGGTGTGAGGGAATGGGGAGAGGGGAATGGCTGCTAATTGATATTGGGTTTCTTCATGGAGTGATAAAAATATTCTAATGTTGTTTATAGTGATCATTGTACAACTTCATAAACATATTAGAAACATTAAATGTTATATGGCTAAACTTATGGCATGTAAATTATAAATCAATAAAACTTTTTAAATGAAAGGAATGACTAATCTGGGCAACATAGTGAAACTCCCATCTCTATAAAAATTTTAGGCCGGGCACTGTGGCTCATTCCTGCAGTCCAGCACTTTGGGAGGCTGAGGCAGGTGGATTAATTAAGGCCAGGAGTTCGAGACCAGCCTGGCCAACATGGTGAAACTCCAACTCTACTAAAAATAGAAAAATTAGCTGGGCGTTGTGGCACATGCTTGTAATCCCAGCTACTCAGCAGGCTGAGGCATGAGAATTGCCTGAACCAGGGAGGCAGAGGTTTGCAGTGAGCCGAGATCGCACCACTGCGTTCCAGCTAGGGTGATGGAGCAAGACTCCGTCTGAAAAAAAAAAAAATTGAAAATTAAAACATAAGCCAAGCATTGTGGCTTGCGCCTGTAGTCCCAGCTACTCAGGAGGCTGAGGCAGGAGAATTGCAAGAGGCTAAGCCCAGGAGTTGGAGGTTTCAATGAGCCATGATCATGCCACTGCACTCCAGCCTGGGTAACAGAGTCAGACCCTGTCTCAAAGAAAAAAGATGAAGAATTCTGGAAAGATGGCAATTGTAGTGGCATAATAGCTTTTGGATTTTCCTAAGTCCTCACACAAAACAGTCAGAGAACCTAATTAGCAAAGTCAGCAAGTCATGAAAAACATATGCAACAAAATTAAATGAAAATACATCCCTACAAAATCCAAAAGTACAAACTAATAGGACAAACCACAAACAGTGACAAGACTTGTGTATTATTTATTTCTATAAGGGGGAAGGCAGGAAAATCACAAAAGAGTCAACAGATATTCCCTGGAAAATGCAGCCAGGTTTGAGAATTGGTTGTGAGTAGAAATGAGGAAAGGTAGATTATGCATATGATATATATATATATATATATATATATAATTATATGATACATACATATAAATTATATATATATCTATATATAATGGTAATACAGATATTCCTGGACTTATGATGGTGTTATATATGGATAAACCCATATAAGTTGAAAATGCATTCCATACCCAATAAACCCATTATAAAGTCAAAAAATTGTAAGTCAAATCATTGTAAATGCAGAAGCTCCTGGATTTGTGATGAGGTTATGTCCTGATAAACCCACTGTAAAGTTGAAGGATTATAAATCAAACCGTTGTAAATCGAGGACTGTCCGTGCACACGTACACACACACACACACACACACACACACACACACACATTATATGTACCGTAATATGTATGGTATATATTTGGTAGTTATCTACTTTAGCTGCAAATAGGAAAGCTATTTAAGTTTCATATTTCTTTCTTACTTTCTATGCAAAAACTTACAACTCAATTTATTAGATAATATTTAGAAAATAGCCAACATAAAGCTAGATATATTCTTTTTTATTTATTTGCATTCTGAATACATTATGGTGCTATCTTCAACTTACTATCAAATATATTTTTCTAAAAAGAAAAATAAAGCAAAATAATTGGCATATTCTGTAGTCTGTCCAGGAACACAATAAGAAGGCTCTCTCCTTTTTGGACAAGTTAATAAGGAAGCAAGGAAGCAAGTAGCTTATTCATAGAAAAATAAGTGACAGATTATAAATTTGATGTCTCTCCTTTTTATTCAAGTTGGTTTAAAAATGGTTTGTACAGAAATCTTATAAAATGTAGCAACCATTCCACAGAACAAAGAAGTAGGAAGACAATTCATATTGTAAAGAAAGGGTTATCGTATCATTGTAATTCTAAAGTTCGAAATTTAAATGACTTCTGAAATTTCAGAACGTTACTTAAAGTACAATCATTTCTTAAGTACAGTCATTCACCTGATACTCAGGGAGCTTACTATTAATACTAAATAGTATTTATGTCAGCTGTTAATATCCCAGATCAGCAATAAGACCACTAGGTGTTAGTCCTAGCTTACCCATTTGCTATCTGCTGTATGATTTTAGGCAAATGACATGATCTTCTTTTGCCTTATGTTTTTCATCTATAAAATAGTAGTAATAATGCTTCCATCTCATAAAGTTCTTATGAGGATTAAATTATTAACTCTATACAAGGTACTTTGAAAAACACATGAGATATAGCAAGCATCTGAATATTCACTGGCCAATAAATATAAATGAACTACACTGCAAGCCTTCTTAATTGTTTTAGGGACAACACTTTTTACATCACATTTAGAATTCTATTCTGTTTTGTTCCTTCATTTTCACATGTTCCACAAACATGGATTTTCTAGTCTGCAGAAAGCTTTGTGCAATGCACTGCACACATCTACGGAGAGCTGGGCTGAAATGTGTGCATTCCAGAGTGTTCAGTTTTGTGGATTTTTCTTTTTCCCTTTTCAGTGCCTCTTTCTTAATTCCTGGCATTTGTCTCCTTCCCCAGTGTGTTCCCCTCCATGTTTTCTACTTACAGGACCCCTCTGTGAACTGCTCAGAGACACTGGTAAACCCAGGACCTCAGGGTAGAATCCAATAATGGTATAAGATGTTGCCTTTTCAACTGAATATCTAGAAAATTCAATTGAATGATGACCAGTTTTCAGTTCAAGGAAAAGGAAGAGATAATTTAGGGAACAGAGAATGTTTCCAGAATCTTTTGACAGTAGCTACTCAATCTTTCCCTACATTCATACATAGCAAAACACTCACACCCCCCGAATAATCTTAATTATGAAAAGAAAAAAAATACCTTGAGGGTAAAATAAAAGAAGCTGGCATTTTTATAATTTCAGATGTCTTAGGTGTTGTCTTCAAAGATAATGTAAAAAGACATTCTTTTTTATTATAGCCACTTTTGCATCTTTCATTTTTTTCCTGTTAAAAACTGTATGTATGACTCCTGAGTGTCCTTTAAACAGTGATTTTATCTGGAGTGAAAAATAGTGGCATGATGATAATGATCTCAATGCAGCATCACTCTGGATTCAAATTGAACTTGGGAGATCACAAAACAGTGATTGCTTTATATAAAGTTCACACACAAATAAATCTATAAAGATAACTCCATAGAGTTTAACTTCAGAACTTACCTTCTTCACTTAGTTTACATGAAAAGCTGTATTTCTGCTCACATTTGAGTGCTCCGAGTGTTGCATTCAGATCGCTCGCAGTCTTCTTTTAAAGTAAATGTCAGACAAGAAAAAGAAGAAGGCAATGAGTAGAAAAGTAATGCACATCTCGCCCTAATGAAATAATTAAAAGTGACATTTATTTATTTATTTATTTATTTATTTATTTATTTATTTTGAGACAGAGTCTCGCTCTGTCGCCAGGCTGGAGTGCAATGGCACGATCTCAGCTCACTGCAACCTCCACCTCCTGGGTTCAAGCGATTCTCATGCCTCAGCCTCGTGAGTAGCCGGGATTACAGGCATGCACCACCATGCCCAGCTAAAAAAACAAAACAAAACAAAAGAACCTGCCTTATATTATTAGAATGATAGTGTGGATTTAAAAGTTACTATATGCCAAGTGCTTTATACAATAATTCTTCATGGTAACTACTCAAGCAATGTTTGATATGATTGCCATCACTCATCAACACCATCATATTTAATTGAATCCTTAAGACTCTGAAAAATTGAAATAGCTAGATGTTACACCAAATATCAGCTGAGTTGATTTCCCTCCTGATGCTTAATGGCATGGAAACAGCCATATGTAGCCATAACATCATAGAATACTACTAAAACAGTGATAAACAACTTGGAGGTAAAAGCAGTCACACAGCACTTGACATATCTGTCAAGCAGGTTCACTGTCTACTGGTTACCAACTTGCCTGAGTCTGGTGAGACAGAATCCTCATAAACTAATTACATAAAGCGGGTTTATTACGTACAGATAGGCAGCAAGGGACAACAGAAAATTAGGGTTCATCATTAAGCTGGTCCCCCAAGGCTCAAGAAAGCTGCCCAGGGTGGATGTAATCTCATCTGTGCAAGACCCTGTTGCACCACAGCTGATGATCTGGCAAAGCCCGCCCTGGGTTTTATAACTTAGGTGAAAGCATGAAAGGATGTTCTGTTTCTAAAAGAAATTTGAACTAAGACCGGGCTGTTCTAGAACGTCCCTTCTTATCTCAGAATGTTGCATTCCTAGCACATTCTGAGTTTCTTCTTGAGAACTGCAAGCAAGAAACTAGGGAGAACTGGGTTGGTCCAAGGCCACAGGGAGAAATGTTTGGCATTATCTAGTTTGCCAATGATTTCAAATGGTCTTGAAAAAAAATAAGTGATATCAGACATATCATTAGTGTTTCTAATAGTAGAATGTTTTAATAGTACTAGTTTAAGTATTTTAAAACATTGTTAAGTGATGTTTTAAAATTTTTTAATATTCAAATAATCCTTATTGTTACAGGCTTGTTTTATTTTGGATTCAAAATCTTTTCAGTAAGGAAAGGGCGGGAAAAGAATATTTGTTAACTACAAATATTATTTAACTTGAACCAGACCCAGGTCATAGCAGTTTCTTTCTTTACCTGATTATATATGACTATTTTTATACTAGGTTTCTTTATACACTGCAATGCACCTTTTGTACCTAGAGCTAAAATTTTCTGCCAACACTTGATATAATTTGTTAAATATACTCTTTATAGAAGAATCCATACATTTAAGCCTGCACTTTAAATGAAACTTTACTTATTGGCAGGATGAAGTACGCAATGCTTCTCAAATGACAAAATAGGCTTATTTGAAGTAACTAAATCCCTGCAAATATTGATTAACAAAAAGTGTCAAAGTCATGTTTAAAAATAGCTTGTTATAATTAGTTTATCTCCTGATTATATGTTCTCTTCCAACTTACTTATCAATATTAATAACATGTCCATACATAAATTGATATTTTACTAACTATATATCATATATGGATACAAAGATTAATTTTGACTTTTCAGTGAAAGGTAACTGGTTTTTATTGATTGAAGAATTTTGATTATCAAAAGGTAAGAATGGTGACATCTTTGTCATTGATTTATAAACAGATGCTGTCTTTTTGAAAATGTATCACCGCATGTGGTAGAGATATTTACTCTTTGAATGACATCAGTTTCTTTCCCGCATGTTTCCCTTTTAGTTAAACGGGTCAATAAGAATCAGAATTGGCCAATGTGCTGTGAGGAAGTAGCATGTGTCATTTCCAGTTGAAATATTTAAAATGTAGTGTACAATTTTCATCGTTACAGATTTATTTTGAATTCAAAAGTAAGTCTCATCAGGTCTCCCTTGCATGTTAAAAGGGGCCTTATATCCCAGATAGTATATCTACATCTGCCTCATCTTCCTGAATCTGTAGATGAGAATCTCTTAGCCAACTTGTTTTTTAGATATGTATAGTTGAGTTATATATATATATATATGTGCGTATATATATAGTATTTTTTAAGATTTAAGTGGTATTTTAAAAGTATATCATCAAGCCCATCCTAACACACAGTGCAATCTACTACCTAACACACAATGCAATATTACATAAAGAGACATTATTTAACATTGAGTTTTCCAGTTTCTCTACCTTGGAAGCAAATACATTTGCTGTATTTAAGGTCACAGTCTCAGGATTATGGTTGCTTAATTAATAAACAAAAAGAAATCACAACCAAGCTATCAATCCTTTGCAGGTTTATTCAACCTGAAGATGTAAGAGAGAAGTATACTTACCTTCAGATTCTAATAGTCTAAAGGTGTTAACCAAAAGCTCCCAGCATTCCTGGGTTCAGCCTTTTGAGGAAGTACCCTCAGTGAATAAAGTTGACACTAAACAAAATTCTTAACGAAGAGGTGGAGATAGTCTTTGTGACATCAACCCTCTACATTCAGTCATTGCCAGTTATAAATCTAACTTTCTTTTATTGCTTGAATTGATTTGAGACAGGCTTCAGAAGAGAGACTTCATTGCCATGATCAACTAACTGCATTGTTCTTCATTAAGCCTTAGAGCCCAATTACTTGTTTCTTATAAAATCAGGGACTAGTTCTTTTTTTCTGGTCCAAGGCCATTCTTTAAACAAAAGAACTATGTGATTGAGTTTATTATACTTTTAATCAGTGATTTTAAATTAAAAAAGTCAAAGCCATGGATGAATCTAATTACTTTAACATTGTATTCAAGTAAACCATTTGTTACGTACCTTGAAATCATCAAATACTGCTTTATCTCTCAATAAAATTAAGAGAATTAGCATCTGAATGTTAAAAAGGTCTATATTTAAAAATGTAATTTAAATCATATTATAATGATAAATATTACTATTAATATAATTATATTTAATTATAATCCAAGCACAATGATATAACTTGGTTCATTTACATTATTAAGAAAAAATAATTATTTGACCAGACATTTTAGTAAGGCTTAAATAGCCCTTGAAATATCCCTAGGTTCAAATAGAGGCAACTGTAAATCTGAATGTTAACATTATCCTCAGTTCATGTAATTTCTAATTAGAATTTGTTTCAATGACAATGAAAATTTTCATATTTAGGATCTAGGTCAGTAGGACCATTGCATAGAGTTTTTGTGATGATATGGTGTTTCCATTTTTACTGAACTATATTTTACTTATTTTCACTCAAAATGAATATTGATGTTTATCAAGAAGGCTCCTACTTTATACTCATATATAATTTTTCCACTACATAATTGAAGTATATGTCATTTAGTCCTGAAATATCGGTACAGATATATACTAGTATATAAGATGTATAAGCTACAGTTGAACTTGAGTAGATGTGGAACACATGAAAATTACATCTAGTTGAGCCAAACATAAAGAAACAGTTAACAACCAAATCTACAGATATTTATACATGCACAAATATTAAGCCAGGACTAGAAACCAATTTTCTTGTCTATTCCACTTAATGGAACGCACACACAAATGCACATACGCACACACAGATTTTTTTTTTTTTACTGTAACATATAAGTTTCTGAAAAACCTCATGTTTTGAATAATATGAAAAGAAGAAAGCCTTTGGAAAAATAGTATTGGAGCAAGCCACTGAAATCATAGGTAATCTAGTTACCCAGCACTAATATAAACACTAGCAATCATATTCAAGCTGCTAGTACAGTTTAAAGTATCTGAATTCCTAGTAAATAGAGGAACTTTTGAGTAAATGTATGACTCTACCTAAAACAGTGGGGGTGGATGGGAGGCAAGGACCCTTGAGGTAAACATAGTATAAAATGTTTAAGGCTGTTGAATTTTGAAGGCAAGAGCAAATTACCCGAAGACCAGGAGAACTAGGCAATAAAGAAGCACTTTCAAAAGAAAGCACATGGATAACTCATCTGAAAACGTTGGTTGAAGCACACTCTGCGCAGTCCGGGAATTCCTGTATGACTTGCTGAGCTCAGCTGTGCAAGTACTCTTTGGTTTCATCTGCTGTATGTTGGTGCTACAAGAATTATTGTAGTGGTCAAAATCATGGACCAATCAAAACAACTTCTGGTTATAGTAACCTAATTCCTCCACTGATCCGTTGCATACATGCCTACTTGTTTAATTGTTTTACAGAAGCATGCATTGAATAAGTGACAATCAAGACAATGGAAGGAAATGAATAGATATTGAAAAATCAATGGGCGACAAGATCATACTAGACCCAGCATATACACAATCTCATTTAAGAGGGGAATAAGAATGTTTAGTATGGAATGGATTCTTGAAGGATTTGAGTCAAATGACTCACACAAATTGTCTGGAAAGTTGTCTCAGAGGAACTGGGAAATGAAGAGTTTAAAATCGTTGATTAAAAGGTCAGGAAGGAGTTCAGAGAAAGAAACCAAGTGTGCTTGGAGTTTTTTCCACTAGGTTACTTTTTGGTCTTTTAGTCTTTGTACATTCTAATGATAATTTCTTGGAAATCTCTATGTTAACTAGATTTACTCTAACTGCCAACACTGTCAAACGTAAAAGGAGTTCATGTAAAGGTACAAGGAATCACATCAATCAAGAATATGGTACAACGTCAGGAAGATATGGAAATCAAAGATTAAAAAGTGAGAGGGGGTAGGGGCAGTGGCTCACATCTGTAATCCTACACTGTGGGGGGAGGCTGAGGCAGGAAGATCACTTGAGCTCAGAAGTTCAGCTTGGGCAACATAGTGAGACCCCATCTCTACAAAAAATTTTAAAAATTGGCTGGTGTGGTGGTGTACACCTGTGGTCCCAGCTACTTAGAAAGCCGAGGCAAGAAGATCACTTGAGCCTGGGAGGTTGAGGCTGCAGTGAGTCATGATCTCACCACTGCACCCCAACCTGGGTGACAGAAACTGTGTGTTTCAGCTCATCTATTTAATTTCCCTTTCTGTGGAACGTCCATCTCTACTTTACCGTACATAAAGAAAACATGACTCCGGGGAATACACGAGCCTGGACACATTGTTGCAGGCATCCTTTAGTTTTATTTCTAAATTCTCTGACCTATCTTGGGTCAAATGGTCACCCTCAGACTAGTTATTGTAGAGAGACGGCAGGATACATTAGACAAACATGCCTACTGGAACTCCACCTTGGTGACCTTATTGATGAAGGAGTGTCACCAGAATAGGGGAGCTGGGTATACAAATCATATTCACTATGTCTTATTTTCTGTATTCTGATGCTTCCTAGCAATAGTAAAGCACTTCCTCTTGAGTGCATTTTTCAAATGCAAACCAACCACTCTAGAGCCCACATCTCCACCTACTTCCTTTATGAAGCCGTCACACTCAGAGCCACTATCTACCTGCCCTAATCATCCTAGGTTTAATTACCAGAGACTAGGAAGAGCCACCATGCCCCCGAGTTTACTGAAATTATTCAAACTAGCCAATTGTAAATCTGCTTCTCATAGAAACTGCAATAAAGGCGCTTGCCCACAATTTTGCATCTCCTTCTGCCTCCGGATCAATCCGAGTGTTTGCCTGTGCAGCCTCCCTACAGTGAAGTGTTCTCCCTTCACTCAGGTTCTGTGAGTATAAAAACCTATCTTTTCCATGGCAGTCATTTCCTGATCTGTGGGCCTCACCATGCCTAAATATTACTAAAACCTAAATGAAAACACAAATCCACTATAAGCTCATTGAAAATCTATTCTTAGAACATGATATTTTGCATTCAATAAATATTAATACAGTACCTCCTACTAGCAAGTATAGAAGGATATTACACAGATAAGTTGATTATTCTAATAGATGGCTAGTCCAATAGTGAGGATAAAAAGTAATGAACTGCACTAGAGCAGTACAGTGAGAGTGGAGACGGAGAGGGGGCTGCCTGAAATATTGTGAGAGGAATGATAATTCAAGAGTTTGCTTTAGCTCTGGTTATTATAGCTTTCATCTGGCTGGCAAGAAAAAATAAGGCAGGGAAAGAGGCAAAGGAAGGACACATACCTGGTGTCTTTTAAAATTGTTTTCTTGAAGCTTTTGTGTATTAATTATACTTACAATGAATTAACCAAAATTTAGTTGCGTGGTTAAATCATAAGGAAATCTACGAAATGTGTTTATTCAAAACTAAGTTGTATTACTAGGAAAGAGGAAGGGAATATATATTTGTATAGAGAACCAATAGCCTACCACAATTTCTTATAAGGTAATTTCTTTTATTTTTAAATTTAATTTTAATTTTATTTATTATTTCCATAGGTTTTCGGGGAATAGGTGGTGTTTGGTTACATGAGTACGTTCTTTAGTGGTGATTTGAGAGATTTTGGTGCACCCATCACGTGAACAGTACACAGTGAACCCAATTTGTAGTTTTTTAATCCCTCATCTCTCTTCCACCTCCCACCCTTTCCCGAGTCCTCAAAGTCCATTGTATCATTCTTATGATACAATGCATCCTCTGCATCCTCTGCATCCTCATAGCTTAGCTCCCACTTACGAGTAAGAGCATAGGATGTTTGGTTTCCATTCCCAAGTTAGTTTACTTAGAATAACAGTCTCTAGTTCCATCCAGGTTGCTGCAAATGCCAAATGCCACTAATTCGTTCCCTTTCGTGGCTGAGTAGTGTGTGTGTGTGTGTGTGTGTGTGTGTGTGTGTGTGTATATACTCTTTCTTTATCTACTCATTGACTGGTGGGCATTTGGTTACATATTTTTGAAACTGTCAACTGTGCTGCTATAAACATGCGTGTGCAAGTATCTTTTTTCGTATAATTACTTCTTTTCCTCTGGGTAGATACCCAGTAGTGGGATTGCTGGATCAAATGGTATTTCTACTCTTGGTTCTTTAAGGACTATTCACACTGTTTTCCATAGTGGTTGTACTAGTTTACATTCCCACCAGCAGTGTAAAAGTGTTCCCTTTGTGCCACATCCGCACCAACATCTATTATTTTTTGATTTTTTGATTATGGCCATTCTTGCAGTAGTAAGGTGGTATCACATTGTGGTTTTGATTTTCATTTCCCTGATCATTAGTGATGTTGAACATTTTTTCATATGTTTGTTGACCATTTGTATATCTTCTTTGGACAATTGTCTGTTTATGTCCTTAGCCTACTTTTTGATGGGATTGCTTTTTTCTTGCTAGTTTATTTGAGTTCATTGTAGATTCTGGATATTAGTCCTTTGTCAGAGGTATATATTGTGAAGATTTTTCTCCCATTCTGTAGGTTGTCTGTTTACTCTGCTCACTGTTCCTTTTGCTATGCAGCAGCTCTTTAATTTAGTCCCACCTGTTTATCTTTGTTTTTGTTGCATTTGCTTTTGGGTTCTTGGTCGTGAAGTCTTTGCCTAAGCCAATGGCTAGAAGGGTTTTTCCGATGTTACCTTCTAGAATTTTTATAGCTTCAGGTCTTAGATTTAAGTCCTTGATCCATCTTGAGTTGATTTTTGTATAAGGTGAGAGATGAGGACCCAGTTGCATTCTCCTACATGTGGCTTGCCAATTATCCCAGCACCATTTTTTGAATAGGGTGTCCTTTCTCTAATTTATGTTTTTGCTTGCTTTGTCAAAGATCAGTTGGCTGTAAGTATTTGGGGTTTATTTATTGGTTCTCTATTCTGTTCCATTGGTCTATGTTCCTATTTTTATACCACTACCATGCTGTTTTGGTGACTATGGCCATATAGTAAAGTTTGAAGTCAAGTAATGTGATGCCTTCAGATTTGTTCTTTTTGGTTAGTCTTGCTTTGGCTATGTGGGCTCTTTTCTGTTCCATATGAATTTTAGGATTGTTTTCTCTAGTTCTGTGAAAATGATGGTGGTATTTTCATGGGAACTACATTGAATTTGTAGATTGCTTTTGGCAGGATGGTCATTTTCACAATATTGATTCTACCCATCCCCGAACATGGGACGTGTTTCCATTTGTTTGTGTTGCCTGTAATTGCTTTCAGCAGTGTTTTATAGTTTTCCTTGTAGAGGTCTTTCACCTCCTTGGTTAGGTATAATTCCAATTTTTTTTTTTTTTTTTTTTGCAGCTCTTGTAAAAGTGGTTGAGTTCTTGATTTGATTCTCAGCTTTGTCACTGTTGTTGTATAGCAGGGCTACTGAATTATGTATATTAATTTTGTAGCCGGAAACTTTGCTGAATTTATCAGTTTTAGGAGCTTTTTGGAGGAGTCTTTAGGGTTCTCTAGGTATATGATCATATCATCAGCAAACAGTGACAGTTTGACTTCCTCCTTACCAATTTAAATGCCCTTTATTTCTTTCTCTTGTCTGAATGCTCTAGCTAGGGCTTCCAGTACTCTGTTGAATAGAAGTGGTGAGAGTGGGCATCCTTGTCTTGTTACGGTTCTCAAAGGGAATGCTTTCAACTTTTCCCCTTTCAGTATTCTGTTGGTTGTCAGTTTGTCATAAACGGTTTTTTATAAGGTAATTTCTGAGCTTAAACATATGTAAAAGTATGACTTTAACATATATTGTCAGTTAAGAATTTGTATCAAATGTAAATTTTCACCTAACCCCATGTTCTTAGGGCTGTTTCTTCACATACTCTCTGTTGAGGTTGCTTGTTGTTTGATTCTCTGGAGTCTTTTTAAAAAATTTTTTTTGAGTCATAGTCTCACTCTGTCACCCAGGCTGAAGTATAATAGCACGATCACAGCTCACTGCAGCCTAAACTTCACAGGCTCCAGCAATCCTCCCACCTCAGCCTCTCAAGTAGCCATGACCACAGGTGCATGTGCCAGCACATCCAGCTAATTTTTTGTATTTTTAATACAGACAGGATTTAGCCATGCTGCCCATGCTAGTCTCAAACTCCTGAGCTCAAGCAATCTACCTGCTTTGGCCTCCCAAAGTGCTGCGATAACTGAGCCACCATGCTTGGCCTCTCCAGAGTCTGTGGATATCTTTCCCTGTCTCTGTAATTCAAAAACCTAAACCTTTCTTATAATCCCACCACTCCCATCAGGTTCCTTTCCTTTTTCAATTTAGGTGAAATAATTTGTCAATTTCTTTAAATTCTCACCAAACTTTTTAAAAAGAAATTTCAGTTTTTTAAATAGAAAAATTTCCTAATCAAGCAGATGAAATTGTAGATTGTTTTAATTTACATCTATGATTAATAATGGGGTTGAATGTTTTTTAAAGATTCATGAGCTAATTATTAAACATTTATTTTTCTTCTTTTGAGAATTACCCATTTATTTTCTTGCCAAGAATTTCTACTGAGCTGCTTGCTTTCTTGTATTTATTCAGAAGTGGTCTGTCTTCATTAACTATATTAACCTTTTTTATAAGATAATGTAAATATGTTTTTCTTGATTTTCATTGTCTTCGCATATTGTTCCTAGTAATTTTGATGAAAATTTTTTTTCCAATTTGTTTAATTTAGTCTGGATTTTCTTTTATTGCTTTTGCCTTTGTCATTAGGCTAAAGAAGCCCCCTAAAATTAAATAAATATTATTCATGTGTTTCTATATTTTCTATCTTTACATTTTATTGCCTATTTTAGTTTGCTTGAGCTGTCATAATAAAATACCACAGACTAGGCATCTTAAACAAGAGAAGTTAACTTTCTCACAGTTCTGGAGGCTGGAAGTCCAGGATCAAAGTGTTAGCAGGCTTGGTTTCTTCTGAGGCCTCTCTCCACGGCTTGAAGATGATTTTCTTCTACTTGTGTTATTACAAGTTCTTTCCTCTGTGCATGTAGCTGTTGAGTATTCCTTATTGGAAATCCTTGGGACCAGAAGTGTCTTGAATTTTTTATTTTTTCAGAATTTGGAGTATTTGCATTTACATGAAATATCTTGGGAATGGGGTCCAGATCCAAACACAAAATTCACTTATGTTTCATATACATCTATGCACATAGCCTGAAGGTAATTTTATACAATATTTTAAATAATATATATGACCCATCACATGAAACCAGGTGTGGAATTTTTCACTGACGTCATAACTCCGTGCTGAAAAAATTTTGACTTTTGAAGCATTACCAATTTTGGATTTTCAGATTAGGGATGTTTAACATGTTCATGCCTGGCGTCTGTCTCTCGCTTTCTAAGGACAGAAGTCGCATTGGATTACTGCTCCACCCTTAGGGCTTCAGTTCAATTTAAGGACCTTTCTTGGCCAGGTGTGGTGGCTCACGCCTGTAATCCCAGCACTTTGGGAGGCTGAGGCAGGTGAATCATGAGGTCAGGAAATCAAGACCATTGTGGCTAACTTGGTGAAATCCCATCTCTACTAAAAATACAAAAAAATTAGCCGGGTGTGGTGGTGGGCGCCTGTAGTCTCAGCTACTCAGGAGGCTGAGGCAGGAGAATGGCGTGAACCCGGGAGGCGGAGCTTGCAGTGAGCCGAGATCGCGCCACTGCACTCCAGCCTGGGCGACAGAGTGAGACTCCGCCACTGCACTCCAGCCTGGGCAACACAGCGAGACTCCGTCTCAAAAAAAAAAAAAAAAAAAAGAAAAAGACCTTTCTTACAGCGCTATCTCCAAATATACTAACATGGATTATAGCTTACCCATATTCTCTCATTTAACCTTAATTATCTCTTTAAATGCCTTGTTTCCAAATATGACTTCATTTGAGATACCAGGGGTTGGCTGGGACTTCAACTTAGGAATTTTGGGGGAAAGGATGTAATTCACCCCACAATAATGCTGCAGTCCTCATATGTAAATGCCCTTGAACCATACCTTATTCCAAAGTTCCCTACCAAAATAATGTACCATAAGGCTTTTTTGGCTTTTTTTTGTCTAACAACGTTTTTTCCCTTTACAAAATGCTAGTATGTATTATTTCCCTGGTTGCCTAATCTACATACTTTTTAAATTTTTTTTTAATTAAAATAATTTTTTTTTTGAGGTGGAGTTTCACTCTGTTGCCCAGGCTGGAGTGCAGTGGCACGATCTCGGCTCACTGCAACCTCTGCCTCTTGGGTTCACGTAATTCTCCTGCTTCAGCCTCCCGAGCAGCTGAGATTACAGGCATGTGCCACCATGCCCAGCTAATTTTTGTATGTTTAGTAGAGACTGGGTTTCTCCATGTTGGCCAGACTGGTCTCAAAGTCCTGACCTCAAGTGATTCACCTGCCTCAGCCTCCCAAAGTGCTGGGATTACATATGTGAGCTACCACACCTGGCCTAGATACTTTAAAACAAAAAAAAAATCTATTGTGCTTTGCACCAAGAGAACATCCTGTATTCATTTTAGTTGTTTATTCCTTAATGGTTAATTAGAATTCCCTTAATTGTCCCACTCTGGTGGAAACTAAACTATGGAATTAGGTGATTATCCTGATTATCACAGACTCACAGGAATTCATTTGACTGGGTGATGCTTTTATTTTCTTAATTGCTTTAAATATAAGCATAGTCCATAATATTAAAAGGTTCTTTTAATCTATACTAAGTTAAAATTTGTTAGTTGAATTAATTTTAGAAAGAAAACAAAAAAGAAATGAACATACTTAGAAATTAATAATTTTATCACTCATTAATGTTTTACTCTTGTTAATATATTTCTAGATCTTCTTTAGTGTGAGTTATTTTTTCCTAGATACATTTTCATGAGTTGAGTCACTGACTGAAAGTTATCTGGGAATATATTAAATATCATAAGCACATTGAAATAAAGTTGAGTAGAATAGAGCTTTCTTTGGCAACGAGATAAAATTTTCCAGTAAGCTAGGGAATATCTGAAACAGACTGTAAGAACACAGCCTCTGTGAGGTTAGCTGGGGGCCCTACACCACCAAAGCCTCAGTGTTTATATAATCTGAAAGACTCTGTATCTCTAGTCTTTACAAGATCCCAGAAAACCCATTTCCAGAAATACACTCCTTGTTTAATTTTTTGCCCTTTGTTCTTTTTGGTTCTGATACTAATGTTACCCACAGCCCTCCATGACAAATGTATTTCTA
Organism: Homo sapiens; assembly: GCF_000001405.40. Classification (NCBI taxonomy): domain Eukaryota; kingdom Metazoa; phylum Chordata; class Mammalia; order Primates; family Hominidae; genus Homo; species Homo sapiens. The sequence continues at coordinate 19,468,872 of NC_000010.11, forward strand.
TGAAAAGGTAAAACTTTGTTTTCCTTTCAGTTTTCTTTATGTCTCTCTCTTCTCTCCCTCCTCTTAATTTTTTTAATAAATAATATTTATTTCCTATCGTGAAATGCATCAGTGATTGTGGTTCTCAAACTTGGCTACATATAAAAATCTTTTGAGGAACATAAAATACTATTTCTGCCTGGGCCCCACAGCAGACCAATTAAATCATTCTCTCTGGGTATGGGGTCCTGGAAGCCATACTTTTTAAAGCTTCAAATTATTCTAAGGTGAAGACAGTAATGTGAACCCTTATTATACACATAAAAGAGTATTTTTAATATACGCTTTCAGCTTAATAATAAAATAAGATGTTCCCCTTAGTTACTCCACACAAAGTAAGCATATTACCTGTCTTTGGGAAATTTTTTATGTGTTCTTGTCGAATTACATACTTTTCTCTTCTGCTAGAGGAAGTCACTACCATGTCTTTTATGATAATGATCTTCTTGACTTTTTTAGTTTTAGCACAGCTGATTGTATTGCTAAATAATGCTATTTAATTTTGCCACTTTTTGTCCTTTATGTAGATAGTCACACAACAAAATTGTATGCTTGCTCTTTTCTGAGCGATGTGTGTTTGAGATTCTTCACTAAGCACAGAGCTGTGACTCATTCATTTTATCAATTACTTTATGTAATCATGGATGAATATTCCTAAAATAAGTAAGAATTCCATTTTGTTTCTAATTTTTGCTTTTATGGAAGTAAGTAATAAGAAACCTCATCCACACAGAATTGGGATGTTTGCTAAGATTGGAGTTTTGCTATTGCATTGTCCTGCAGGTGTTTGAACTGGGTTACATGCCAAAAGTAAGTTACATGCCAAAAATCAGTGTTGCATAATCAAAAATTGTTATTCGCTTTCTTTCCAGAAAACTTTATTCAAGTGTGATTGCCATATAAAAAGCTCTATTTAGTGTATACAACTCAATGTGTTTGGGGATAAGTATACACTCATGAAAAAAGTCACCATTGTCAAGGCCATAGACATATACCACACATCCCAAAGTTTCCTCCCATCCCCTTTATTGGACTTTTTATGGTAAAAACACTAAACATAAGGTCTACCTTCTTAGCAAATTTTAAATATTCAATATAGTGTTGTTATCTGGAGGCACTATACAATATAGGGCAACTCCAGAACTTATTTATCTTGCATAACTGAACCTTTGTACCCCTTAAACATTACCTCCACATTTCCCCCTTCCACCAGACTCTGGCAATCACCATTCTATGCTTCTGTGAATCTAAAAGAAGATTCCACATATAACTAAAGTCATGTCATATTTATCTTTCTGTGTCTGGCATATTTCACTTAGCTAATACCTTCCAGAGTCACCCATGTTGTCCCAAATGTCAGGATTCCCTTCATTTTTCAAGGTTGAATAATATTCCATTGCGTGTGTATACCACATTTTCTTTATGCATTCATCCATCCATGGACATTTAGGTTGTTTCCATATCTTGGTTATAATGCTGCAATTACGATACCAGGTGTAAATATCTCTTTGAGATATTAATTTCAATTCCTTTGGGATATATACCCAGAAGTAGAATTGTCAGTTTATTATGATAGTTTTATTTTTAATTTTTTAAGGAAACTCTCTACTGTTTTCTGTATGGTTGTACCAACTTACATTTTCACCAACAGTGTGCAATGGTTTCCTTTTCTCCACATTCTCCCCTTTTATTTTTCAAAACAATAGCCATCCCAAGAGGTGTGTGGAGATAGCTCATGGAGGTTTTGATTTGTATTTCTCTAATGATTAGTGATATTGTCCATGTTTTCATATACCTGTTGTCCATTTGTTATGTCTTTTTTGGGAAAATGTCCATTCAGGGTCTTTGGCAATTTTTGCAAGTTAATTATTATTTTTTTTCTGTTGTATGAGCTACTTATATATTTTGGATATTAGTCCCTTATCAGATATATGATTCACAAATATTTTCTCCTAATACTTTCTTGGGTCGCGTAGGCTGCCTTTTCACTGTGTTGATTGCTTCCTTTACTATGCAGAAGCTTTTCAGTTTGATGTAGTCTTACTTGTTTATTTTTGTTTTTGTTGCCTTACGTTAGGGGTTGACATCCAAAAATTTATTGCCAAGATCAATGTCAAGGAAATTTTCCCCTATCTTTTTTTTAGGAGTTTTGCCATTTGGGGTCTTATTTCATTTTAATCCATTTGAGTTGATTTTTTTGTTTGTAAGATAAATGTTCAGTTGCATTCTTGTGCATGTGGGTATTCAGTTTTCCCAGTACCATTTGCTGGAGAGATTATTCTTTTTTCATTATGTATTCTTGGCACCCTTGTCCAAAATTAGTTAGTCCTACATGTATGGGCTTATTTCTGGGCTCTTGATTATGTTCCATTGGTCTATGGGTCTGGTTTTAATGCCAGTATCCACACTGTTTTCATTACTGTGGCTTTGTAATATGTTTTGAAATCAGGAAATATGATGCCTTTGGCTTTATTTTTCTTGCTTGAGGTTGCTTTGTCTAATCAGGGTATTTTGTAATTCGATATGAATTTTAGGACTTTTTTTTCTATTTCTGTGGAAAACGACTTAGAATTTGGATGTGGATTGCACTGAATGTGTGGATCACTTTGGGTAGTATAGACATTTTAACAATATTAATGTTTCAATTCATGAACATGGGATTTCTTCCCAGTTATTTGTCCCTTTTCCTATTTTTCTCAGGATTTTTTTTTTTTTTTTACTTTTCAGTATGCATATATTTCACCTCTGCTTAATTTTTTTTTTTGATTCTTTCATAGATGGGTTTGTTTGCCTAATTTCTTTTTCATATAGTTTATTTTTATCATGAAGAAACACTACTGATTTTTGCAAGTTGATTTTTGCATCCTGCAACTTTACAAAATTTGTTTAATAATTCTAACAGGGTTTTCTTTGTGGATTCTTCAGAGTTTTCTATATATAAGATCATGTCATCTACAAACAGAGACAACTTTACTTTTTCTTTCAAATTTGGATGACTTTTATTTCCTTTTCTTATCTATTTTCCCTGGCAAGGACTTGCAGTACTGTTTTAAATAAAAGTGGTAAGAGTGGGCATTCTTGCTTTGTTCCTGATCTTAGAGGAAAAACATTTTTCTTTTTCACCATTGAGCTTTCACATATGGCTTTTATTATGTTGAGTTAATTCCTTCTATACCTAAATTTGTTGACAAGTTTCATCATAAGATGTTGAAATTTGTCAAATGCTTTTTCTCCATCTATTGAAATGACTGTATGATTTTTATCCTTCATCAGTTAATGTGGTGTACCACATTTCTTGATTTACCTACGTTGAACCAACTTTGAATCTCATGAATAAATCACACTTGATCAGGGTATATGATCCTTTCAGTGTGCTGTTGAGTTCTGTTTGCTAGAGCTTTGCTGAGGATTTTGCATGGATGTTTATCAGGAATATTTGCCTGTATTTTCTTTTCTTGTAGTGTTTTTGTCTGGCTTTGATATCAGAGTGATGGAGGTCTCGTAAATGAACTTGGAAGTATTTCCTCCTCTTCAGTTATTTGTGAAAGTTTGAGAAGGATTGTCATCAATCTTTTTTAAAAGAAGAATTTGGTAAAATTCACCAGTCAAGCAATCCAGTCCTGGGCTTTTCTTTGTTGAGAGTTTTTGATGACTGATTCAATCTCTTTACTCATTATTGGTCTGTTCAGGTTTTCTCTTTCTTCATGATTCAGTCTTGGTAGAAGGTATGTTACTAGGAATTTATCTATTTCTTTTAAGTTATCAAAGTTGTTAGAATACAATTGTTAATAGTAGTATCATATGATCCTTTGTATCTCTGTGGTAACAGTGGTAATGTCATTTATAATATTATTTATGTTGTTATCTGGCCTTTCTAAGTCTAGCTAAAGGTTTATCAATTTTTTATGTTTTTTCAAAAAACAAACTTGTAGTTTTTTTATCTTTTTAATTTTTGTCTCATTCCCTGTATCATTTATTTCTGTTCTAATCATGATTTTCTGACTTCTAAATATAATCATTGATAAATATGAATTTATCTCATATCCTTCGCATATATTTTTTAAATATGCAATTTTAATATCCTAGACAATAATATTTGCCATTCCAATGACAATATTCCACACTCAACGGAAACTGAAGCTAAACATTTTTGGCATCCAAAGCTTGTTCATATATAAGAAATGTGAAAGCTTGTTCATAACCTCACTTTATCCTCAACTTAAATTTTGAGGATAAATTGAGGTTATGAACAAGCTTTCACATTTCTTAAATGTGAAATTTTTCAACTTAAATTTTGAGGATAAAGTGAGGTTATGACGTATACCCTGCTCCTATAACAGTGCCTGGCATACTACAGACAACAAGCAAATAAATAGGTAATTTTTAAAAAAGTATTTAAAAATTGTGGTAAAATATATAGAACATAAAACTACCATCTTAATCATTGTTAGGCCTACAGTTCAGTAGCCTTAAGTACATTTACATTGTTCAACCATCACCATCATCCATCTCCAGAATTTCCATCTTGCAAAACTGAAATTCTGTACCTGTTGACAATAACGCATCATTTTCTCCTTCCCCAGCCCCTGATGTCTACCATTTTACTTTCTGTCTCTGTGAATTTTTCTACTCTGGGTGCCACACATGAGTGGAATCATACAGTATTTGCCCATTTGTGACTGGTTTATTTCATTTAGCATAATGTCCTCAAAGCTTATTCTGTTGTAGCCTGTGTCAAAACTTCCATGAAAACTTGTTTTTTTCAGGCAGAATAATGTTCTATTGTATGCATATACCACATTTTGTTTATCTGTTAATGGACACTTGGATTACTTTTGCCTTTTGACTATTGTGAAAAATGCTGCTATGACATTAGTGCACAAATACCTGCTCAAGTCCCTGCTTTCAGTTCCTTTCAATATAAGCCAGAAGTGGAACAGTTTGATTATATGGTAATTCTATTTGTAATTTTTGTAAGAACCACCACATTCTTTTCCATAGCAGCTCTATCATTTTACAATCCCACCAAAAGTACACGAGGGTTCCATTTTCTCCACATCTTCACCAACACACATATTTTCTGTTTTGTTTTGTTTTTTTCGTAGTAGTCATTCCCATGAGTGTAAGATGGTATCTAGTTTTGGTTTTCATTTGTATTTCCCTAATGATTAATGATGTTGAACATCGTTTCATGTGCTTATTGGACATTTGTGTATGTTCTTTGGAGAAATACCTACTTAAGTCCTTTGCCCATTCATTAGTCAGGTTATTTTTTTATTATTGCTTTTGTCAAGTTTTAAGCAGTCATTTTTTTTAAATGAGTAAAGAGATGAATGTGAAGAGTAGGATCACTCTTCTGCTTTGTCATTGAGCAGCTAATAAGAAAATATAAGTACATATACAGTTATAAATATAGAAACATTTGTAAATTTATCCTATTTCCAATGTACATCCAAAGAGATTTGAGTAAAAGTGTCCAAGTTTTAAAAATCTCTTTATCAAATAGTCAAGTCTTTGTTTGCTATAATCTCATTAGTAACAAAATATTCTTTGCTCTAAGGCATAGCTTTTCTTTTTAATCTACTATACATTTCGACACAGTCTGTTGAACAATGTCTTCTGCCATCCTTTTCATTCACCAACTAATGTTGTTCCCTGGTGTCATTACAAGGAATAAGCCCATTGTAAGTTATCAATTTTAATAACATCTGCTAATATTATTTTATAACTTTATTTAGAAAGTAAATGATAATATAAAGTATTATTTATGTTTTCTCAAAGAAGCATTTTGTTCTTAAAAGAATGCTGGCCAAGGATGAAAACAACAACAAAAAAAATTAGAACTTTCAACATTTCCTATAAATCAAGAACTGTTTTGTCAACTTTATATATTTTATTTTATCTTGGCAAAATCTTACTAGAACCCATTTTATAGAACTAAGGGTGTAACAGGGCAGGAAATTAAGAATCAAGGAGGAAAAAAAACCTAGAAAAATGAATGTTATATAACATTTATTAAATGCCAAACAAGTACTGAAAATTTTGCATTCATTAGTTCATTAAATGTTTACGTACCGCTTCATATAGGAAGTTCAATATCCCTATTTATCACATGAGAAATATGAGGCTCAGAAAGATTTGTTAAATTTAACCAAATCACACAGTTGTGGCAGATTTTGCTGAAGGATTTTAAGATTTCATTTAAAAACATTTTAAACTTTCTGGCCGGGCGCAGTGGCTCACGCCTGTAATCCCAGCACTTTGGGAGGCCGAGGCGGGCGGATCACGAGGTCAGGAGATCGAGACCATGCTGGCTAACACAGCGAAACCCCGTCTCTACTAAAAATACAAAAAATTAGCCAGGCGTGGTGGTGGGCGCCTGTAGTCCCAGCTACTCTGGAGGCTGAGGCAGGAGAATGGTGTGAACCCAGGAGGCGGAGCTTGCAGTGAGCTGAGATTGCATCACTGCATTCCAGCCTGGGCGACAGAGTAAGACTCCGTCTCAAAAAATAATAATAATAAACTTTCTTTAAATTTTCTTTTTTGTAGCTTTGTTAACAATTACAAAATAAAGAATATAAGGTAAAAATATTAATCTTGAGTCCCAGTGTCAATAATAATCCTCAGTTCACAGCAAACCTATTGAATTCTGAAGGCATGATTGAAATACTATGTCAAAAATATAGTAGAGATTAAATTGTTATACATTCCCTAAATCTAAGCAAGTTCAATGGAAAGGGTCAAAGACAATATTAGGCTGTGATTAGACTTGTTTGTATTCATTTTATGCAGAAAAACATAACTTGTTCATTGACCCTGAAATTTGCACATAAATTGAACATTATGTAACTGTGTTCTGCAGTGACCTTTCTATGTCAATAATAGACAAGAAAGGCTAATTAAAAGGTCTCAATCTGATTGCTCAGCTTCTCAAAATCTCTTATTCTTCATTAAAGCACATTAATGTTATCAAAATCAAAGAGATTCTAAAACCTCATGTTTGGGAAAGTTATATTTCCTTGAACGTGGGATTGTTTTCCTTTTATTACACACATCAGTGATTATTGTTGCCGCTCCTCTCCTCACTTTTACAGTGGGACCTAAAAAGAGCAATAATAGATGCAATTAATAGTTAATATTCTTTTTAGTGCACATACCTTAAATAAATCAAGGGCATTTTTGCCAAAGATTGGGGGATGATGGGTCGGAAAAGTGAAGAAACAATTGTGGAAGCCATCCTTGGGGAGAGTAAGGTCCAAGGATCTCAGCAGTAGGTGTTTACGGAAATGTGCTCCAATGAGCTGCCCACTAGATGCCTGTCCACACCAAACTTGGCATCTCTACGTGTTTTAGTACAGCATTCAGTCCCAAATGGAATAGTCCTGTTATTCTGTCTTTGATCAGTTGTCTATCCTTAGGTCAATAAGCCATATAATACCATCTTGAGACCCAGAATAATGAGTATTTGAGGGCTCTTTTCTGTCCCTCTCTGAGCTACACCCTTCCTCACTTGGCAAGGGGTGTGTCCAGCTAAGAAGACATGCCCACTGAGAGACATACTCCCTGTTCCAGATCCAGGATCTCAGGTTTCTGTGGTCCATAATCTACTTCAGAGGTCTTTGTAGGCCTCTTCCCCAGCTCTGTCCTCTTTCAGATGAACTGCCTTGCTGGTGTGCTTACCCCAGGCTGGTGGGGTGGCTAAGCAATGACTATGGATTTGAGGTATTTGTATGTGAATAGGTTAGAGGTGGATCTACAACCATAGCCTGAGCGGTCATCTCGAACCAGGATATACATTCATTTTGTGTTTACTTTGGACACCATTCCAGGCTGCACATAATAGCACTTATTTTACAACACTCTAATTATGTTTTTTATTCATATGACATGTTCTCACACAATGAACATAGAAGATTCGTGAGTCTTTCGTGGAGGTATGTACACTTCAGAAATACATCTCTATATTTCAACATACGCTTCCAAACTCTCCATCTCATTAACCTAACTTCTTTGTCAAATTAAAAAAAATATTTTCTACTGAAAAACACTAATGTTTTCATTTTTTCCAGGTATTCCAACATCTCATTTTTTAGGATCAATGGTAGTAAACTCTTAGCTCTATATAATTCTTGATTTTTTCATTCCAGTGGAAACATACATTCAGAGATGGGAATGCCTGCGGCTTGAAATGCACTACAAGAATACGTTTTAACCTCTTAGTGCTCAACAATATTAATAGAATTTTAATCTTATATTTTACCTCATAAAAGGAATATATTATTGCACAGCTGAAAATGATACTTTTATATGACTTGTTATAGAAATTTTTATACTTGTATTTATATATTTTAAAGGCAACAAGAAAATTGTCAATGAATTAACTAAGTATCTTCAAGATAATATTCAAAACTCCATAACATTTTAAAGATCCAAAGTAATTGAATGATATCATTCAAAGTTACTTGGGGGATTTTACAAATGGGAAAATAGAAATAAGGCCTGTTAGCTCTCAGTTGAGTGACTATTCTGCTACTCTAGAGTAGTTGGAAATAAATAAATAAATAAATAAATAAATAAACACAATAATTGTTGACTTGCTTGGTCATGAAGTGGCATCATTGTCTGGGGCAAACACCTGGGGTTCATTGTCTCATGCCAGAGAAATTGTGGATGCAGACACACAAGAAGTGAGTTTAAGGGTGGAGGTTTAATAGGCGAAAGAAGGAGAAAAAAGAATAGCGCTCTTTCTTGCAGAGAGAGAGGGGCTCCCAAGTGGGACTTCTAGTTTTGTGATGAAATGCACCAGATTTCATAGATAAGCTTGAGGAGGCAGTGTCTGATTTACACAGGGCCCAAGAGATTGGTCGGACCAGGTGTGACATTTGCATAGCACATGAAGAAGCTGGTCATCCCACCGTAATCTTTTATTATGCAGATGGAGTCTCTAACTGGCCTTCACCATGTTGTCTGTTCATTATTGTACACATGGTTGACAAAAGGGAAGTTGGAGCTGCCATGTTGAACATGCCTGGCTCCCAAGTAACCCTTTTCTACTGGCACAGTTGCCGGCATTCGCCTGTGCAAGCTTCTAGTTTCCCTTTCTGTGTCTGCAGCTGAATTTTACAGGCTGCTCTTTGTTGGAAAAGAAATGATTCGGGGGCTGCTTTTATTAAAAGGGAAATCTTACCAAGGACTCTCTGGCCCTAACATTTTCAAACTCCATCAAAATAAATCAACTCTATCACACAGTATAGCCAATTAAACACATATCCTTACTGCGCATTATTGTTTTGAACAGATAAGCGAATGCTTCAATGCAAATCCTAAGCAAAAGCTATCTGAACAAAGGAAATAATCATCTCCCAAGACAAAAGTAAGATGCTCAGTTGAACCTGCTTCCTTTTGCCATTCCCTATCAGATGTATATGACGTCGATGCTTTATTGTAAAAATTTCATTTTACACCTCACCTTCAGTAGAGTGGAGATGAGCTAGGAGCAATCTGTGCACTCCCCTCTCAATATAGCAATTAGAAAATATTAATTAAGACTAAACACACAACGTATCTCATCAATCATGGTTTCTTCAAGTTAGAGTTAAAATTCAGCACGTGAAAAGGTACCCTTAAAGAAGGGTCCCTTTTTAATGAGGATTACAGTTTCCTAGTCTAATTTCTTTTCTTTCCTTGCAATTTTATATCTCGTACTAAGTTCACCTTTCTCAAAAAGAGCATTTATTATTTCAATACTCCTTATTGCTTTGACCCAATTCTGGTTTGTTTACCTTTGCTTTCTGCCTCATTTCATCACGTACCATGGGCCTCCTTGTCTATGTAACAACCAGTAAATTACTTTGTTAGCTGTGTTTATATAGAGTATCAAAGTCACCAAACACATCACATTTCAGAAATTATCTTGGGCAATGACAATAATTATCACACAGGCTATTTATCCTCTGAATGATTTTCAATGGTTGAGAGCCTTTTTAGCAACCATTCTTAACTGTAAAATATTCTAAGAATCATTTTACCCAAAGTATTTTAAATTCATTGAATGTAGGAATTAGCCTAGTACAAATAGCATGTTTAGAATGTATTTGGTGTTTCAAATAGCCACCTATTCTCACTGCAATGGTGAAGCCAGCCCAAGCAATTTTACCAAATTTAAACACAGTTCCATGAAATACTATTTGATCACTCAAAAGATATCTAGGTTTTGTGCTAGTATTGAGTATATAGTGATGATTATAATACAGTTTCTTCCTTTAAGGATTCTTCATTTTCTTTCAGAATGGGCAAGTTTAGTTTATCTGTTACAGAGTAAAGAAATCAAATAGGAAATGCACCATTGTATAGCATTTCAATATCGTGTGCTATAATTAGGATATCTGGAGCCCCAGGAGAGCCAGATGGATAGATGGGTCTGAGGCACGTCAGATAATTCTTCGTGGAAGGAACAGCACCTAAGGTGTGAGTTATAGGAATCCATATTTGAGTCGGATGAGAGAACGTATGGATTTTGTTGGCTAAGGGTAAAGACTGTGGTGCCAAAGCATGTATTCTGGCTTGGCTATTAAGTAACTACATGAAATTAGGTAAGTGACATAAGAATTGTAGTACCTGCTTCACGAAGCTGTTTTGAGAATTACATGAGTTAATATATTAATATGTAATGTGCTTAAATTGAATGAGGCACGTATAAATTCGCCATAAGTGCTAGTGTCACCATCATCATCATCACATCCTTTTCATATCAGGCTACTGCTATAACAAAATAGATCCCAAAAAAACATAATCCAGGAAGTTTATCTCCTATCCATTTTACAGCAGCTGTCATGTAAACAGATTGGTGGGGCGGCTTTTCTATTGAATTTACTCAGGGACCCAGGCCTTCAATCCCTGGCCTTCAAGGTCTATCCCACTGATCATGACTTTTCCATCCACGTGGAGAGGTACAGAACATGGGGGAAAGTGTGGGGAAGTCTGTATGGACTCACCTGGATGTGTGCACATTACTTCTACTCACATTCCATGGGTTAGAACTCAGCCTCATGATCTTACCTAGTAGCAAAAGGAGCTGATAAAGTGCCTGTGTGAGCAGCCACAGCCCAGAAACAAGCATGTGCTATAGAAACGTGACCACAGGACCCAAAATAGCCATCCTTCTCCACCATGTGGCTGAGGAGGGACAAGTGCGTGAAAGAAGATGGTGTGCATCTCCGGACCACACATGGATGCTTATCGTGAGATTGCTCATGAGTCAGGAGTAGAGAATGATAAACTAGGAGGCAAAGAAAGAAGCTAGTGTGTGAATTTTTAATCCTGTTTAGTGTGTCTGATATGTTGCGGAGAAATCTCACAGAAAATGTACAATAAGTGTTTAGATCTCAGCAAAAGGAACAGGTTGTGGTTGTAGACATGGGGCCATCAGCCTCCAGATAGCAGTTAAAATCAAGTGGGACTACCAAGGAAAATGAGTTGGAGTCACAGTTTGTTTTTCTAGCAGTTGAAAGTCTGGACTGGAAAAGGAACCAAGAGAGGAGAAGGAAGGTTGAGACATTGACAGGGTGCCAGGAATATCATGCCAAAGAGCTTAAGGAATTGACGTTTCAAAGTGGAAGGCATTTTCGGCATATCAGCAGTAGCAGTAAATCCAGAATGGGAGGGGTTGACATTTATTTTAAAATGGTAATTAGGACATCATTAGATATCTATGCAAGGGTTCTTTTAGTGCAGTAGTAGAAATTGCTAAGAGGCAAGGAGTGAGTGATGACTTCTGAATCACTGAAGCACTGAAAATGCTTCTTGTTGCATGAGACCATAGTGGTCCTTGTCGGGTGTACCAGTTCTGAGTTTTTGTTCTTGTGTTGCTTTAATTTCTTGTTATCTCTTCTTCCTTCTTTCTAGGCCTTCTAAACAGGCTTTTTTTTGGCGGTTGGGGGGGATTGGGTCTGAAACTGTAAACCAGTGATTTGAAGTAGGCATAACCTAGGGTTCAGCAATCAATTGTTCTAAAATTATATGAAGAATTCATTTTAAAAAACTGAATATTTAAAATATATCCATGCACAAAATATTAAAGATAAAATGAGTTTCATGTCAGAAAAGAGAGCTTGGTATATATATATACTTTTCTTTCAACCAAGTATACATACAGTTTATGAAGTCATCTTTTTATTTAAAATATGAAAATTCAAACTTCAGGAAATACTCCTTTCAGCATGCACCTTGCCTCTGTGTATTGCCAGTGAAATCACATTTTAAAATATTTTTCTAAACTGTTTCTGTGCACTAATACATGGTCCAGTAACTCTGATAACACCTCTGATAATTTTGATGCAAACTGAAGTTTGCTGTCACTGAGATCACTAAGGTTACAGTTTCAGACGTGTTGCTATTAATTGCCTGATATGTGCATTGACCTTTAAACCTAATTCTTTTGAACTTAAGATAGACTTAAATTATCATGGTGAATCGAAAATATTCTATTATGTGTATGTTCTAGATATTTGAAAATACTGGTCATGTAATATCAAATCATTGGCAGTGCTGAGATGTCCTTTTATTTGCAAACTTGCCTCTGATAGTTCCTTCTAGAATAAGAGAGCAACCAAGTGAAATAAGTAGTTCATCTGTGAAGAGACATTTGGGTGCATAATCTTCCCAAATTATATGTCCCCTTTATTTTCTCAGATGTTGTTCTTCCTTTATGTAAATATGAATCTTCTAGTCATATTTATTTGTAATAGGTTGCCAAACTTGCTTGATAAGGAAACTGAGAAGAATGGAATTTTATAAATAAGGAAACTCAAAAAGGAATTGATCCCTTTCTATTGAGTGTCTGGCCTATTATTCTACTTGGTTAAATGACCAGCTAGCATGGTAGGTAATTCGAAAGGTCATCAACAATTTATATTAACACGCCAGTACAAGCTGGGGCTGCTTTTATTGTCTTCTGATAGCAATTCATAAATATATTCAATTATAGCACTAAATATACTGTTTTACTAATAACTTTTCATCACTGGATCATAAATTCCTCGAAGGTGAGAGCTATCTCAATATTTTCCATCGTGTCTGATAGTTGCTCAATACATGTTTCTGGCATGAATAAATGGAAGGTTCTAAATTGTTGGCATCACTAGATGTAAACACACTGTACTTTGTATGAGAAAGTGATTATTCTTATTATTCTCGTTTAGAAATCACATTAAATGACTTATCAAAGATTACAACTTTTATAAGAACTGGGGTTCAAATCATTATCTTGGTCTACATATTTGCACTGCTCAATAGCAATCAGTGTTTACTCTCCAGAATTACCAGGTCTAACTAGGGGTTAACTTTTGCTTGCAAATTAAAAACTTTTGAAACATGCCTACCATAAAAACTGTCCAAAGATAATTTATCAACAAGTTAAAAAAGATAGATGACAAGGAAAATTCATGTATTAAAAAGCTAAAAAAAAGTCAAACAAAAAACCAGTTTTATTAGAAAATTTTCTGGGAGTCCTAGCCAGAGCAATGAGGGAAGAGAAAGAAATAAAAGGCATCCAAATAGGGTAAGAAGTCAAACTATCTCTCTTCGCTTATGATAGGATTCTATACTGAGAAAGCCCAAAAGACTCTTCCAGAAGGCCCCTGTAACTGATCCACAACAATGTGCAAAAAATAGTAGCATTTCTATACACTAATAAGGTTCAAGCTGAGACCTAAGTAAAGAGCACAATCCCATTTACAATAGCTACACACACACACACACACACACACACACACACACACACATACACACAAAGCAAAAAATACTTAGGAATACATCTAACCAAGGAGGTGAAAGATATCTGCAAGAAGAACTATAAAATCCTTCTGAAAGTAATTATAAATAACATAACACAAAAAATGTAAAAACATTCCATGTTCATGGGTTGGAAGAATCAGTATCATTAAAATGGCCATACTGCCCAAATCAGTCAGCAGATTCAATGCTATTCCTATCAAAAAATTAATATCATTTTTCACAAAATTAGAAAACACTATCCTAAAATCCATATGGAACCATAAAAGAGCCCAAATAGCCAGAGTAATCCTGAGCACAAAGAACAAAGCTAGAGTCATCACATTACATGACTTCAAACTGTATTATAAGGCTACATTAACCAAAACAGCATGGTACTGGTACAAAAAATAGACACATAGACCAATGGAACAGAACCCAAAAATAAGGCCACACACATTTTACAAAAATTAACTCAAAATGGATTAAAGATTTAATGGAAGACCTGAAACTATAAGAATCCTAGAAAAAAAAAAAACCTAGGAAACACCATTTTTGACACTGACCTTGGGAAATAATTTATGACTAAGTCCTCAAAAGCAATTGCAACAAAAACAGAAATTGACAAATGGAGCCTAATTAAAGAGCTTCTGCACAGCAAAAGAAACTATCAACAGAGTCAACGGACAATTTACAGAATGACAGAAAACATTCATACTGTGCATGCAACAAAGGTCTAATATTCAGAATCTATAAGCAACTGAAGTTGATAAGCAAAAAAACCCATTAAAAAGTGGGCAAAGGACGTGAACAGACACTTCTCAAAAGAAGACATACATATGGTCAACGAACATGAAAAATGTTCCACATCACCAGTCTTCAGAGAAATGCAAATTAAAGCCACAATGAGATACCATTTCACATCAGTCAGAATGGTTACTATTAGAAAGCCAAAAAATAACAGATGCTGGTGAGGTAATGCTTATACACTGCTGGTGGAAATATAAATTTGCTCAGCCACTGTAGAAAGCAGTTTGGAGATTTCTCAAAGAACTTAGAACTAACATTCAACTCAGCAATCCCATTACTGGATATATATTCAAAAGAAAAGAAATATTTCTACTAAAAAAAAGATGCATGAATGCATATGCTCTTCATAGCACCATTCTCAATAGCAAGGACATGGAATCAACCTAGGTGCCCATCAACAGTGGATTGAATAAAGAAAATGTACATATTATACACTATGGAATACTACACAGCCATAAAAAGGAATGATATATCCTTTGCAGCAACATGGATGTAGCTGAAGGCCATTATTCTAAGTGAATTAACACAGGAACAGAAAACCAAATACCACATCTTCTCACTTAACATGAGGCCTAAACCTTGGGTGCTCATGGACATAAAGATGGCAACAATAAACACTGGGAACTACTGACAAGAGAAGAGAGGGAGGAGGGCAAAGATTGACATGCTAACTTTTGTGACAAGCTCACTACCTAGGTGACAGGATTATTTGTATCTCAAATCTCAGCATCACACAATATATCCATGAGACAAACCTGTGCCATGTGCCCTGTGAATCTAAAATAAAATTGAAATTATAAAAATAAGAAAAGTTTTCTAGCTACTAAAATGCATTTTAATATTTCTGTTTTAATTAATGCACCCAGATGTTCATACATATTTACTTGTATGTGAACATGAAAAAGAGAGTGCATGTGTCAGTTTTCAGTTTTTTTAAAGAATAAATTTACTATTAGACAATATGCAATTAGCATAAAGCTCATCTTAAATAAGGAGTATTATTTGCAGAAAATTGATTTATGGGGTTTTCTTGTTATTTTTATAATTCATAACAAAATAGCAACAGTTTTTTAAAAGATTAATTTTATATTACAAATTGGACTACAGAAAAATTAATGAAACCATATAATATGCTTCCCACTCACTGGAAACATTTGAAAATACTTTTTAAAAGCATAATAATATATGTTGGCACAGATATTGTTAAAAGGGAACATTTATACACCACTGATGGAAATGTAAACTAATACAACCTCTATGGAAAACAATGTGGAGATTTCTTAAAGTACTAAAGGTAGATGTACCATTTGATCCAGCAATCCCATTACTGGGTATCTACCCAAAGGAAAAGTAGGCATTATTTACAAAAGGTACCTCCATGTGTATGTTTATCAACAGCACAATTCACAATTGCAAAGATATGGAATCAACCTAAGAGCTCAGCAACCCATGAGTGGATAAGGAAAATGTGGTATATATACACCATGAAATACTACTCAGCCATACAAAATAATGAAATAAGGTCTTTTGCAGCAACTTGGATGGAACTGAAAGCCACTGTCCTAAGTGAAGTAACTCAGGAATGGAAAACCAAATACTGCATGTTCTCACTTAAAAGTTGGAGCTAAGCTATGGATATATGGAGTGGCATACAGAGTGGCATAAAGAACATTGGAAACTCAGAAAGAGGGAGGCTGAGAGAGTAGTTCGAGGGATGAAAAACTATCTGATGAGTGTAATGTATGTACTCTATTTGTATTATAGTTGCAGTAAAAGCCTAGACTTTATCGCTGTACAATTCATCATATAACCAAAACCATTTCCACCCCTAAACTTATGAAAATTAAAAATATTTTTAAAATAATAAAGAAGGCCGGGCACGGTGGCTCACGCCTGTAATCCCAGCACTTTGGGAGGCCAAGGCAGGCAGATCACAAGGTCAGGAGATCGAGACCATTCTGGCTAATAGGGTGAAACCCCGTCTCTACTAAAAATACAAAAAATTAGCCGGGCGTGGTGGCGGGCACCTGTAGTCCCAGCTACTGGGGAGGCTGAGGCAGGAGAATGGCATGAACCAAGGAGGCGGACCTTGCAGTGAGCCCAGATCGCGCCACTGCACTCCAGCCTGGGCGACAGAGCAAGACTCCGTCTCAATTAAAAAAAAAAAAATAGTAATAATAATAAAATAGATCAGTGTAGCTTTTTAAAAAAGCAATTAATTTTATTGATAGATATCAAAAGCCCTAAAAGAGACAAATCCATCGATACATTTTTATACCCAATAATGGCATGTTAGGAGTCTGTCTTACATAACTACTTCCAATTATGAAGAAGCTAAACATAGTTTTGTTTAAATGTAAAATACTGAAACAACTCTATGATGAATAATAATGGAATTATTAACTAAATTAGGGGTATATTCAGTTTTCATTATATTTTATAGATATTAGTGATTACTGTGAAAATCAGACAAAATATTTATGATATGATAAATATAAAGGTAGAGAAAATATTGTGTATATGTTATGATTACAAGTATTTAACCTAGTTACAAAAAAATTTAAAAAGAAAAATGCGACAAAATGTTAAAGACATTGTGTAAAGAAGGAGAGATTGTTTTTTTCTACATTATTATGTATTTAAACTCTTACTATAATAAAATATGTTTTAAAAGCTCAGAGGTTTCCATTTACTTATCACATTAAATCAAATGTCAATCTGCATTTTCAGAACCAAAAGACGTAGTTTCTCCAATACTTCACAGACCAACATACCTTTGTAAGTCTGATCAGTTTTTTTTAACTCCTGCTCACTCATGAACATCTTTGAGTCTTTGATAGTTAAAATTCTTTGTTGTGGTCTAAGCTCCTTTCATGCCTTCAATGCATCTAGATGTTTACTTGCTTAGGACTTTTCTTAGATATGTTTCCTGACTCACTGTATTCCATGGGAAAGTTCTCTTGTACTTGGAATTTCACTAGGTCTTCCATACATATATAGCAGCCTTAGAAACCCTAATTGTTTCTTTTCAGTTGATTCCAAAGCTGAATATGTGGTTTTGTCAACTAAATACCATGGTCTTCAAAAGCAGGGATTACGCCCGTTTTAATATTCTTCATGTGGTTACATGAAAAACAAAGGTACTTAGAAATGCATGTCCATATGAAACTTGCCGTCTGGAATCTCAGAGCATATTGAATGTCATCAGCTTAAGAAAGTAATAAAACAACAAGTGTTTCTTCATAAATATTATCTATATAATGATTATATCTGGTTCAGTGTAATGAACTCTGTGTACAAAACGATTTTAATCCAAATTGAAATTTATAGGATCGAGGATTTGTAAGCTCTGTTTCAAAGTAAAATGAAACTAGTTTTCAATTGATGTCACTTTCATGTTGGTGAGAGTTTGTTTAAATCTACAGTAGATTAGTCCTATATAAACCTTATGTTCTTACTGGATTAAATTTTCTTTTCTTATGGCTGCATTATTTTCCACGGCCTTCATAGGATCTTTCAGTTTCTCATGCTTTAGTTAGGTCTTTACATCTCTGTTTGTCAGTCTTTTACTAGCAAAATAAATATTCTAGTTTTTTCATATGCCATAATCTGCTGGCCAGGTTATTTTCAACTTTTATTGTGAGCACCAATGTTCCATCCATTCTTTTATCATCAAATATAGAATATGTGAGATATCTTTCATTTCATGTATTTGACAACCAGGTGAATAGTTTTTGCCTTTATCATTACCATTTTGGCTGAATAAAAAATATAAAATGGCTAAACACATGCAAAACAGTCTTTCATTAAAAAAATCTATCTTTTCAATTTGCTGTATTCTTAAAAAATATACGTGAGGCTGTTTTTTATTTGTTTATTTTTCTTTGGACACCTAATATTTCATAGATATTCTAGTCATTGTTCAGTTTACTGCAGTTCAGAGCATCACTTTATTTCTCTTCATGGCTTTGCTATTCTATATTTTGAAAGAAAATAACCCTTATTTAGAGATGTAGCCTATTTTAACTTTTTTTTTTTTTTTTTTATAAAAGCCAAAGAACCAACTATTTAGAGTGACATCAAAGCACATTTCCCCTGTGGAGTAATTATATGGCTTTACATCCTATGGCATGGAAAAATAAAATAATCTCAAATGCATAGACTTGCATATGGAAAAAATGTCCACATACTGCCCTAGGGTTAACTGTAAATTCTCGCTAGTGTTAATTAAAATTTTGTGGCAAAGTTCCTAAACTACTTGGTAAATATGACCTTTAAGTCTTTGTCTTGTTAATGCCCATAATTGGACCATTTGCTGTTGTCTTAGATGTTCTTTCTTCAGTCTTCATATTTGTATATACCAAATTTTACTGGTAAATTATTTTTGGATATCATACAGGTTTTAGCTATTGTATTATGGGCATAATCCAAAGACTCTGGATATGCACTTTTAGTCAAGTCTGTAGAGTTGTGTTCTTTTTATTTGTGGAAGTACTGCCTAATTGTCAGTAAATTACCTCCACCTCGGGTACATCACCTCTGAACCTATAATCACCTATGTAACAAAGGAACTGCTGAATTTTATTTAATTTGTTGAAGTTGATAAAAAAAATTGTAAACCTTTAATATAAGTCACTATGAATCTGTGAAGTATTGTCATTTGACTACATATCTGATGAAATAATATTTAAATATAAGAATTGCTCTAAAAATTCTATGTCAATTCACTTTTCTAAGCCCCCTTTAGATGAAAACATTGTTTCTGAAATTATGATAACCAAGGTTTATAAAGAGCCAACTATATATCAGGTTCTATGTGAGGCCCAAGAGAACACGATAAGAACTTCTGGTTCTAAGGAGCTTGGAGTCTGGGGGGACAGCCAGCCATGTATAAATAGCTCTTATATGTGATGATACTCATTGTAGTATAGGAATAAAAGGGTACTTAGGTGGCATGAAACAGAAGTGTCTCACCTGGGGCAAAGATGGCAGTGAGAAAGGCAAGACAAAAGTAGAGAGAGAGAAGTCATTTCATTGAATCATAAGTTTGGGCAGCGGGCACCTGGGGCTCTGGAGGGAATAGTCAGGGCAGACAGGAAGTAGCATCTGTGAATGCATGAAAAAACGAAGAGCAAGGGACAGATTTGTGAAACCTTCAGTCATAGGATATAGAACAATTGCAGGTACTTGAGAGTCACAGAAAATGAGACTGGAAAACTAAGCTGGAACCAAGGACAAAGGATTTTTAATGTCTTTATTAGGGGGTTTGGATTTATGTACTAGGTAATGATCAGCCTCGGTCCCCACCTGTACAACGATGGAAAGGTGTGTGGCCATGCAAAGAAGTCAAATGTCATGAATGACCTTCCTGCAGAGTTAGGATTTTTGTTAAGAATACTTTGCATTTTCTAAGAAGTAGTTTGGGTTATTACATGGGTTATTAAGATCCCGTGTACTGAAAAAATTTAGCGGGGGCGGAGGAGAAGGCGGGCTCCCAATCCGGTTCTATCCGGTTCTCCCACCATCCCCCGCCAGGGGTCTCAGCAGCTCGGAGGGTGGAGGGGCGGCAGCGCCAGGCACCGCGCACGCGCCTTTCCGGAGCCAGAATGCCCAAGAGGAAGGTCAGCTCTGCTGAAGGGGCCGCCACAGGAAAAGCCTAACAGGAGGTCAGCGCTGTTGTCAGGTAAACCTGCTCCTGCAAAAGTGCAGGCGAAGCCGAAAAAGGCAGCAGCGAAGGATACATCTTAAGACAAAAAAGCACAAACAAAAGGGAAAAGGAGAGCAAAGGGAAAACAGGCCTAAGTGGCTAACCACGAAAGTAAAGAAGAGTTAACTGCAGAAAACGGGGAAAGGAAAACTGAGGAGAGTCCAGCCTCTGATGAAGCAGGAGAGAAAGTAGCCAAGTCTGATTAATACTATGTACCATGTCTTATCAGTGGTCCCTGTCTCCCTTCTTGTACAATCCAGGGGAATATTTTTATCAACCATTTTGTAAATGCAAGTTGTTTAGTAGCAGCTCCAGAAACATTTTTAAGAAGGAGGGAATCCCATCTCATCCTATTTTTTAAGTGTAAATGCTTTTTTTTAAGAGGTGAAATCATTCGCTGGTTGTTTATTTTTTGGTACAACCAGAGAATAGTGTGGGATATTGAATTATGGGATGCTTTCACTGTCTTGGTTGTCAGCTTAACATTGCATCGGTGGGGGTTAGTTTTTATATCCTATAATACAAAGCATATTCAATGGCAATATGGAGTCACAATCTTGCATCTAACGTCTTTAGCATTTTAAATTACTTCTATTCCCATGTTGTTTTGTAGTAGAATTGTTTCCTAAAGAAAACTACTCCTTGATCGTGGCTCTGCTGTCAGAATTGTGGGCACTGTGTAGCCTCTTTGGTTGTGATAGTCCTATTTTCCTAATAACTTTGTTACTGTGCTGTGAAAGGTCAAAAATTTGCATATGTAGCATACATGCTATTCAGTTGTGAATTGGTGGGATGTAGGTAACAGCTTATCAACATGTGAAGATACTGGTACTTGATAGCCTCTTAAGGAAAATTTGCTTCCAAATTTTAAGCTGGAAAGTCACTGGAATCACTTTAAAAAAGAATTACAATATATAGGTTTTTAGATTTTTGGTACATGTCTTAGGAATTGTGTACATATTGAAATGTCTGTACTGATCCTCAACCAATACAATGTCAGTTATGAAAGAAAAAATATCTTTTTATCTTTTTTTCCTTTGTCCATTTAAAATGTTTGATTTTTCTATCTAAATTAGGTTGTGATGTGCCACTGAAATAGGCAATGTTGGCAACACAATGTCTGTTACAATAAAATACATTAGACATTTAAATAATCTTAAAAACCATGTGAAGGGACATAAACCCGGTCGATTAAATCTGGAACAATGTTTTCTGCACAAGCGAGTACAGGCATACCTCTCGTTAAAACTGATGTAAACAGTCATACCTCTGTTTAAAACTGATGTAAACAGAAGAAGCCAAGTGGGGCGGGGGGGGGGCAGGGTTATGGGGGTGAGGGTAGAGTGGGGGTACGGTGAAGGGAGGCTGAGGTGGGTGGGGGAAATGGCAAACCAAAACAACACTAACTGAGGTAGCAGGACTCTGCTCAGTGCAGAAAAATTGGCTTATGAATAAAAATTAGACTGTGATATCAAATTAAATTCAGATCATCACGCAAAAGACACAATACATGCTATTTAGTTTTAGAAAAAAACACACATTCATTTCCTGAAGTCTGCTGCCAATTAATTTTCTGACAATGTCTGCTGGCTTGACTATTTTTTTATACGAGGATGAGTATTAAACACTGTCCATACTTTTTCATCTACAAAAAATTTGCATAAAATAGTGTTAGTTCTCTGTACTTGTCAATGGACACTTTAATTATGTGTATAAAAAAGGAAAATTTTGCCCCATGGGAGTCAGGAAAAGCAAAATAAAATTTAGAGTATGAAACCTCCACCAGCCAGTATGTTTATGTGAAAATTCAGCAGAAATAGACAGTTGCTTTAACCAATAAAGTTAACATCTTCTTTATGTAAAATTTTCAGTCAAGACAGGAACATATCATTAAAATTAGTGTCTTTGCTATAGACTCAGATCACCAGGAGCATTACGAGCAGCACAAATGGCCAGGAAATCTCATCAGTGCATGCTGACAATGAGCAGGATTTGGTGGCAGGCTGCACATACCCTTTACCAGGTTCCAGGTAGTTGTGGGCCACAAATTTGAGTGTCTCATCCATGAGAATCACAGGCAAGGAGATTTTCAGCACCATCAAAGTGCATAAAAGATATTTCAGAAGTAGAGTCTATATAACTTGCTGAACCATTGAAGGTGGGACTGAGAAAGAGGAAGTTGGGGAAGTCCATCTTAGGCAACTGTTGAAATCCTTAACTTGCTTACTAGTGTGAAATCTATAAAATACCTAACAGGAATCTTCAAGTCTAATGAAAATATTGATGGAATACTGCTTTTGTTTTTTTGTTTTTCCCTAGTGGGAGAGATCTCTGAGCTTTGTCCGGAAATCACTGATTTTTTGTGCCGGGACAAGAAGTGCATTGCATCCCACCTTCTTTGTGACTATAAGCCAGACTGCTCTGATAGGTCTGATGAAGCTCACTGTGGTAAGTTTATCTATCTGCTGTATGGCAGCCAGTTCAGCAGATATTTTCCTTCATAAGTAGAGTTAGATATTGGTGTTGATGATGGAGAAGAAATATTATTTTCATGCACTAGAGTAGATTTAGAATAGCCCAAATATTTCCCCAAATTTGTATACAAGTATCAAATACAAATACAAATGACAGTACTTTCATATTCTTTACCCCATACTGAGAACAGTAACAAGTCTATAGAAAATCATTTTACCAAAAAATAATCCCATTCTGTAATTAGGCACACTGTGTGTAGGGTTAGAATTAAAGTTTCTAGGAACTGCAGTAGCAATCTGCCTTTCTTTATTGGTTGTTTTTTTTTTTCTATTTTTTTTTCCAAAAAATTGTTGATTTTGTATATGCAGCTGAAAATGATCACTTTTAATAAATACCAGTTTAGTAATTAATTTTATCAATTACATTGCACTGGAGAAAGAGGACTGGTTGGGCTCCATTGTATTTTTATTCAAGCTTTAATTCAAGCAATGTTTAAAAACATATATAAAACTAAGTATATAATTTTAAAATATGAGCAGATATTTAAATTCAAAGGATCTTTTTTCCATATATTGTACTGGAAAAAAAGGATATTTTTTCCATTTATCTTATCTTTCCTAGAGAATATTGATACCATACCAGCTACCTGTTGCAGTTACCATTTGCTGCCTAACAAGCTACCCCAGAAGTTAGTGGTCTAGGCCACTGTTACATTTTGCTCACAATTTTTTGGGTCAGTAATTCAGGAAGGGCTCTTCTGGGCAGTTTGTCTCTGATGGCCTGAGTCGAACTGATAGGGTGGAACTAGATAATCACATCCAAGATGACTTCTTCTCTTGATACTCTTTGGTCTCTCTGTCTTACTAGAGATGGTGTCTCATCCTCCAGAGTACTCCATGTGGCTTGGGCTTTACATAACATGGTAGCCACAGGGTGGTAAGCCATTGTACACAGGGCTGGCTTCTACTAGAAAGTGTCCCCCGATCCTCAGGAAAAATAGCAACAGTTACTTTGATTTAGCCTCAGATGTTGCATAATACCATACCTGATTCCTGCTAATGGCCAAGCAAATAACAAAGTCTAGACTAGACTTTCAATGAGAAAACAAAGTCTAGACTAGACTTTCAATGGGAAAATACATCAAATGTAGAGAAGGTTGTAGGGTGACCTTTTTGGAGACAAACTACCACACAAGCATATTTACATTTTTATTGTATAGCTCAATTTAATTTTTTATTTCTTAGGATCTTATACTGATGCTTCCAATGGGCTCATTTTCTATTTAAAATTTTTAATATATTTTTAAACTTTAAAAAGCTGTGGTAAAAAACACATAATAAAAAATTTACCATTTCAACCATTTAAAATGTATAATTTAATGGCATTAAGTACATTTGTATTGTTGTGCAACCACTGCCACCATCCACCTCTAGAACTATTTTCATCCAAGAAAAACAAAACCGTATTAATTAAAGAATAACACTCCATTTACCCCTTCCCCTAGACCATGGTAACCACCCTTCTCCTCTCCATCTCTATAAAAGATCTTTCATTTCTATTCTAGGTACCTCATATCAGTGGAGTCATATAGTATTTTTCTTTTCTGTGACTGGCTTGTGTCACTTACCCTAATGTCTTCAAGGTTCGTTTCATATTTTAATTTTAAATGAAAGTATTTTTAAAAAGTCAAAACAATCAACACATCTTAAGACTTTATTACTAATACCATAGAATTATAGTATTAATTTTATAAAATATCATGTATTTCTTTCATAGTATGTACATTCTCAAATAAAACTTATAGTTCACTGAGTAACACTTTCTAGTGTTATTTCTAGCTTCTTTTAAATTCACCGGCCAGGCGCAGTGGCTCACACCTGTAGTCCCAGCACTTTGGGAGGCCGATGCGGGTGGATCACAAGGTCAGGAGTTCAAGACCAGCCTGGCCAACATGGTGAAACCCCGTCTCTACTAAAAAAAAAAAAAAAAAAATTAGCCGTTCCTGGTGGTGGATGCCTGTAATCCCAGCCACTTGGGAGGCTGAGGCAGAGAATTGCTTGAACCTGGGAGGTGGAGGTTGCAGTGAGCTGAGATTGTACCACTGCACTCCAGCCTGGGCGACAGAGTGAGACTCGTCTCAAAAAACAAAAAAACAAAAAACACGACAAAAGTGTATTTTTAAAAATACTGAGTGTAAGGAATTAATTTCAATGGA
Source organism: Homo sapiens (assembly GCF_000001405.40). Taxonomy (NCBI): domain Eukaryota; kingdom Metazoa; phylum Chordata; class Mammalia; order Primates; family Hominidae; genus Homo; species Homo sapiens. The sequence goes on from NC_000010.11 coordinate 19,493,888, forward strand.
AGACTCTAAAACGTGTGAAATCACCATTTTCCCCACAAGATGTACTAAGTAGGGCATTTAATAGTCACCCACGACACAGTAAAAACTTGGACAAATTCAAGCCTGTAAACTGCAGCCAGCACTCAGGTGGAAGAGGAGCCCACACATTCAGGGCATTAAGAGGGAGCACAGCTGCAACTGTGAGGAAATATAGAGGAGCCACATGATTAAGAGCCTACCTGCTGACCACTGCACTTAGCGCCACATGCTGGCTGGATTACACCCCAAATCGTCAACACCAAAGTACTTTGCTAGCATACCCTCCATCAAACCAAAGGCAAGAAGTCAGCTACAAATGAAGACCCTGAGCAAAGCCTCAGCCCTCTGGAAACATGCAGAAAATAATTCTAATGACTGTACTCAATCTACACTGAAGTTAAAGGAACATTTGCACACAGAAATAAGAAAGAACCAGTGAAAGAACTCTGGCAACTCAAATGGCCAGAGTGTCTTCTGTTCTCCAAAGGACTGTGCTAGTTCTCCAGCAAGGGTTCTTAATCAGGTGAGATGGCTGAAATGGCACACATAGAATTCAGAATATGGGTAGGAACAAATACTATTGAGATTCAGGAGGACATTGAAACCCAATCCAAAGAAGCTAAGAATAACAATTATGCAGGAGCTGACGGATGAAATATCCAGTATAAAAAAATAACGTAATTCACCTAATGGAGCTAAAAAACACACTACAAGAATTTTACAATGTAATAGCAAGTATTAGCACCAGAATAGAACAAATTCAGGAAAGAATCAAGAGCTTGAAGACTGGATTACTGAAAAAACATAGACAAAAATAAAGAAAAAAGAATAAAAAGGAATGAAAAAATTCTCTCAGAAATATGGGATTATGTTAAGAGGCCAAATCTATGAATCACTGGTATCCTTGAAAGAGACAGGGAGAAAGCAAGCAACTTGAAAAATTGCTTTCAGGATATTGTTAATAAAAACTTTGCCAACCTCACTAAAGAGGCCAACATTCAAATTCAGGAAATGAAGAGAACCCCTGCAAGATATTACACATGAAGATTATCCACAAGACACATAATCATCACTTTTTTTTTTTTTTGTAAGACAGAGTCTTGCTTTGTCACCCAGGTTGGAGTGAAGTGGCATAATCTCAGCTCACTGCAACCTCCGTCTCCCAGGTTCAAGCAATTCTCCCGCCTCAGCCTCATTAGCAGCTTGGATTACAAGTGTCTACCACCACACCCAGCTAATTTTTCTATTTTTAGTAGAGATGGGGTGTTGCCATGTTGGCCAGGCTGGTTTCAAACTCCTGATCTCAAGTGATCTGCCTGCCTCGGCCTCCCAGAGTGCCGGGATTACAGGTATGAGCCACCACACCTGGCCATAATAATCACATTTCCCAAGGTCAAAATGAAAGAAAAAAGGTTAAAGATAGCTAAAAAGGAAGGACAGGTCACCTACAAAGGGAACCTCATCAGACTAATAGTGAATCTTTCAGCAGTGAATCTTTTACCTTCCAAGCCAGAAAAATTGGGGGCCTATATTCAACATTCTAAAAAAAAAAAAAAAGAAAACCTACAACCAAGAATTTCACATACAGGCAAACTAAACTTCATAAATGAAGGAGAAATAACATCCTTTTCAGACAAGCAAATGCTGAGATAATTCATTATCAGCAAACCTGCCTTAAAAGAGCTTCTGAAGACCATCACCAGCCACTACAAAAACACACCTAAGTACACAGACCAGTGACACTGTAAGCAACCAGACAAACAAATCTGCATGACAACCAGCTAATGACATGATGACAGGATTAAATCCATGCATTGTCATGTTAACCTTGAATGTAAATAGGCAAAATGCCCCAATTAAAAGGCACAGAGTGGCAAGCTATATAAAAAAGCAAGACCAAGTGGTTGGCTGTCTTCAAGAGACCCATCTCACACTCAGTGACACCCGTAGGCTCAAAATAAAGGGAAGGAGAAAAACCTACCAAGCAAATGGAAATCAGTAAAAAGCAGAGATTGCAAACCTCATTTCAGACAAAATAGACTTTAAACCAATAAAGATCAAGAAAGACAATGACTGTAGATATGGTAAAGGATTCAATTCAACAAGAAGACCTAACTATCCTAAATATATAGGCACCCAACACAGGAGTACCCATATTCATAAAGCCAGTTTCTAGAGACCTATGAAGAGACTTAGACTCCCAAACAATAATAGTGGAAGACTTCAACACCCCACTGACAGTATTAGACAGATAATTGAGGCAGAAAATTAACAAAGATATTCAGGACCTGAACTCAACACTTGACCAATGGACCTAATAGACATCTGCAGAACACCCTACCCCCAAACCACAGAATATACATTCTTATTGCCAGATGGCACATACTTTAAAATTGACCACACAGTTGTACATAAAACAATCCTCAGCAAATTCCAAAAAAACAAAATTATACCAACCATCACAGCACAATAAAAATAGAAATCTATACCAAGAAGATCTCTCAAAACAACACATTTACACAGAAATTAAACAGCCTGCTTCTGAATGACTTTTGGGTAAATAATGACACTAAAGTAGAAATCAAGACATTTTTTGAAACTAATGAGAACAGGCATACAACATATCAGAATCTCTGGGACACAGCTAAGACACTGTTAAGAGGGAAATTTATAGCACCAAATGCCCACATCAAAAAGTTGGAAAGATCTCAAGTTAACAACCTCAAATAATCTCAAATTAACCATTGCAGTTATTGATTGGTGGGACATCTGCATAAAAGTGTGAAAGGCCATGGAAAGGGATGACTAAGGCCAATACAGAGTGAGAAATATAAGCAAGCAAATATATGTGAATATTTTTAAATTAATAGGGTCAGCCTGGCTGTGTGGCTGCAAATTAGAAGAAAGGAATTAGAAGAGGATGTGAAATTGAAGGACGTGGAAAAATGTGTAACTTTGCAGAAAATGAAGCTGTGGAAAGTCAATAGCAGTGTTTTCATAAGGAGTTGAGATCATAAACAGAGATTAGCCTTAAGAAAGAGAAAAGTGGCATATTTTGAGATTGAGTGAATGAAATGTAAGAGAATTTATCCTGATTGGATAAATATCTTTAGCATCAAAAATAAAGTCATATATTAAGCAAAGCGGGACAGGAGGTACAAGGATGATCACAGAGAATAGAAAAGGATGCGGAATAAATATTGTAGGGCTGTATATCAGGGAGTCACTTACATAGAAAACTAGTAAAGAATGTGCAGGTGACATCATTCTAAAGAACACATGATGACTGTCTTTTATGTCCATTGCAAGATTCTGAATTTTTACAGATGTGTTGGCTAAACACCAGCAGAACGGAATGTCTCATTTTTTATCCATATCACATAATAAAAACCTATTCTATATTATATAACACTGGCATGACAAACACAAAAAAGGCACACAGAGCCCATAAATAAGCATACAAGAAGCAATAGATTATATATAGTCATATAGAATGAACGAAAGGAATGTACATGAATACAAGTGGTTGTAATTTGTAGGGATAAGATACAATAATGCTTGAGAAGTAAAATGCTAATATTTTATTTAAATAATCTCAGGGATCCAGAAAGTTTTGTGTGGAAATATTAAAGCTTTGCTTGCTATATATTTAGTATCTATTCTTACAGCAAGGCTTTTTTCTGATTACATTTCTATATGCTAACATTGGTTGTATGTTAAGGAAAAGTTGTGAACGAGAAGGAAGTTTAAAAATAACACAAACTTTCTTTCTAAAAAGAAAGGAAAAGTCAATGACAATCTCAATTGATTCATACCAATTAAATCACCCAGTCATTCATTCTGTCTGTACAACGCAGTCTGGTTTTACAGTGAGTGCTTCAAAAGTAATAACTGATGTACAAAAAAAAGAAAAATGAAAGCCTAGATCAGGGTATCATGATGGCACTTTTCACAGGTGACTAGAAATAGATACAGTTATTATCTATTAATTTTTCTCACTGTGAATAATTTAATTTTTAATGAGTTATCAATCAACACTTTTAGAAGAGAATTTCTTTCTTTAATTTAGTGACTAGCTCTGATATTTGATGCTGCAGTGATTGGTATGGTGTCCAAGATAATTTGTGTCCTATACAGTTTACTACTTCTCCCAAAGTGCCTTTTCTTGAGTAAATGACTTTGCGTCGCTAATAGGCTATGCTATTCAAACATCAGAATAAGGGACGGAAGTGAATTAAACATCCAGACAACTGAAGCTGTTTATTTATTTGACCTGAATAATCTTGTATTAGCATAATGTTATGTTTATTGTTCATGTGTAGACACAGTTTTAACTATCATCTATAAATATTATTCGTCAATGCATATAACTCCTTAATGAATAAGTGACAACATTCATACACTGCTTCTAGATCCTTCAATTAAAATATTAACAATGAGTACAAATGTCTTGATGCTGTAAGTGTATTTATAAAGAATTAGAATATGCAGATACTAATTTTAAATGATCCCAAATATAGGGTAGTAGCAAATGTGATAGACATTTCCAGAAATTCCATTAATGTTTTTGCTTCCCCAGCACATTATACAAGCACAACAGGAAGCTGCAATTTTGAAACAAGTTCAGGAAACTGGACCACAGCCTGCAGTCTTACTCAAGACTCTGAGGATGACTTGGACTGGGCCATTGGCAGCAGAATTCCTGCCAAAGCATTAATTCCAGACTCTGATCACACGCCAGGTAAATCTAGTAGCCATCCCCAGACCAAGAAACCCACTCATCTTAAAGTCTGCTTTAACAATTTGTGTGAATTTCAGTGTGCATTTCTTATGTGTATGTGGGGACAGAGCTCAGTAGGTTTTATGGAAAGAGGGCTAGTCTCTTCTATTGCAAACTCTGAATTACTAAATAGACCCAGAGCTGACACTGCTACAACAAAGCAACTCATGACTCATATTTTAAGAGACTCACAGATTTTACTCACTCTACCCTAAGGGTGCCATTAAATTCCCTAATTGGAGGAGGGTAGGTGGGTGGCATTCAGATTAATGATTGCAATATGCAAAGATATACAACTGGCAATGCTAAAAGTTATCCTGTTGTGACAATGGCCAGTCACAACAATGAAATGGCTGACCACCAATTTCCTTCCCATCATTTTGAAGTACAGGAGCCAAAGTGTAAAATGGTAAGTGGTGATGGAATGAGTGAGTATCAGCATAATCTTCACAAGTGTTGCTTTCTGCCCTGTGATTTCAGATTATGCAATCTTTAATGGCTTTACAGTTAATAGACTCAAAGTAGGAGTAAGCTTGTAATCTTATTTACTCTTACAAAAAAGTCCTACTGACTCAGAATTTATCTTAGAAATCTAGCTTTTATTAGGGATAAAAAAATATCTAAGATATTTGTGATGCTAATTTTATGTGTCAAATTGGAGATGTTTTGGATGAGATCAACATTTAAATTGATGAACTTTGAGTAAAGTGGATTGCCCTTCATAATGTGGCCTCCTCCAATCAACTGAAGGCCTGAATAGAAAAAAAAAAAAAAAAACCAGCCTATGCAGCAAGAAGGATCCCCAAGGGAATGTCTTCAGATTTCATCTGCACCATGGGCTTTTATGGTTCTCCAGCCTGACAGTCCACCCTGCAGATATTGGACTTGGCAGCCTTCATAATGTCATGAGCCAATTCCTTATAATAAATCTCCTTCTGTATATACACACATCCTGTTGATTCTGTTTCTCAGGAGAACCCTAACCAATACAATATTCTTCAAAACAGTTGAAGCATATGCACAGTAAAAAAGAACGAGATTACATGGAATTTAAGTAACTTTCAAAAGATTGTCCTAGCCATTATATGACTAGTGAAAAGAGCACATTAATTTTATTATTTATATATTCCAGGCAGATTGAATGTATCATGCTATTCAATTACAGTATGGACATTCATTCTTGTTTTAAAGATTTTTCCCTAATTCCTTCTATATGGTGAATCACATGTACTGATTTGCGTATGTCGAACCAACCTTGCATCTTAGGAATGAACCCTACTGGATTGTGGTGAATTAACTCTTTGATATGATGGTGGATTTGGTTTTCAAGTATTTTGTTGAGGATTTTTGTGTCTGTGTTTATCAGGGATATTGGCCTGTAGTTTACTTTTTTCACTGTGGCTTTGCCAGATTTTAGTATCAGGGTAATGCTGGCTTCATAGAATGAGTTAGGGAAGAGTCCCTCCTCCTTGAATTTTTGGAATTGTCACCAGCTCTTCTTTTTATGTCTGGTAGAATTAACCTTTAAATTGAATATTCTAACTCCTTTTGACTTGCCACGTTGTAGCTCCCTTTCACAAGCTTTTGTTTCCCTTAAAAACATGAAGTTAGTGTATACTATAAGATGAACAGGACAGAGAATCAAGAAACTAAGGTCAGTAATTAGAAGGATTTAGTGTATAACAAAGGTAGATATTTAAAATAGTGGGCAAAAGATGGACTATACAGTATGGTGCTGGCATATCTGGTTATCCACCTGGAAGGACTTAAAATTAAATCCAAGTTTTATATCATATACAGCAATACAATCTAGATAAAGACTTAAATGTAACAAATAAAAATAAGAAAATCTTTGCAAGAAAACAGAGAGTAAACTGTGTGTAATTTAGAGCAGAATATTTTAAAACCTCCTAAACCCAATTTACAAAGCATTTTGGCCTCTTTGACATAGAAGTCAACTTTTAAAACCTGAAGTCAGCTTCTAAACCCAATTTAGAAAGCATTTTGGCCTCTTGGACATAGAAGGGCCAACACATAATGACTTATATGAGGATATTTATGTCAGCATTGCTTTTAGCAGAAATAATGGGAAATAAATGAATGCCTATTATGTGATCATTTATATGTTCCTTCCTTCATTCACTTAACTATTTCTCAAATGCCAGGCACTTGGCCAGGTCCTGTGGATGCATCAGTGAATGAAACAGGCATAAATCCCTGTCACGGTGGAGCTTACATTACAGAAGGAGGGAAAAGATAATGGGTAAACATAATAAATAAATAAATTAGATGGCTTATTAGAAGTTAAGGGGACAAAAAGAAAGGAATGGAGTACATAGGAGTGTGACAGCCAGTAGATAGGTATGTGCCTTGGAGTTGGGAGGATGGCCTGTAAATAGGCTGGTCAAATTAGACCCTGCACAGAAATGCCATTCAACAAGAGACCTGAAGGAGCTGTGAGGAAGTGACCTGTGGTTACCTAAGGAAAGAATGTTCCAGAGCTAGATCAGCCTGTTTTTGGAAGGTGTCTCAACCTGGTTGCTAATGACATTTGGGTCAGTCTAATTAATTAGGGGTTTGACCTGTGCATTTGTAAGATGTTTAGCAGCACTTGAGGCCTCTGCCAACTAGATGTCGGAAGCACTCCTCTTTCTAATTATAATAAAGCCAAAATATCTTTAGAAATTGCCCCTGTTGAGAACCCAGAGAAACAGCCTGGAAGCCAAGGTAACTTGTAAAATCCACAATGTGCAATATTATGCAGTCACTAAAAAGAGTTTAGTCATGTATAGTTGATTTGAAAGGATTTCCAAATGACAGTGTTGAAGGAGTAAAGCAATATGCAAAATGTTAAGATAGTGTGATCTAGTTTTTCTAAAGCAGACAACAACTAGTACCCCCTTATTGTGCATATGTATAAATCTGTACATAGATATTTCTATGAATGACTGTGAGCATGGAGGATAGGATAAAAGGATACATACTTGTTTATTAACATAGATTACCTGAATGGGTGACAGGGTTAAAGTAGAGGAGGAAATAAACTCAGTAGAAAAAGAAACAAGGCTGGGCAGGGTGGCTCATGCCTGTAATCCCAGCCCTTTGGGAGGCTGAGGCAGGAGGATTGCTTGAACCCAGCAGTTCGAGACCAGCCTGGGCAACATAGTGAAACCCCATCTCTACAAAAAATAAAAAATTAGCCAGGTGTGGTAGAGTGCCTGTTGTCCCCACTACTCGGGAGGCTGAGGCAGGAGAATGGCTTGAGCCCATGAGATTGAGGCTGCAGTGTCGTGTTTACTCCATTGCACTCCAGCAAGATTCTGTCTCAAAAAAAAAAAAAGAAAAGAAAAGAAAAGAAAAGAAAAGAAGAAGCAAGTAACAGGAACTGTACCTGAAAAGAAAATCCAGTATACATGGTGGTAGCACATTTGTGTGTTTGTGAAAAGCGTGGTGAATATATTAAGGTTTGCCACTTGAAAGGTCTGAACTGTTCTTGTCCTTTTAATATTTACTTTTTCTTCAATATTTCTATTTATCAATTTTACATTACTAAATAATAAACTTTTCTAAAATTTTTAAAATATAAATAAGCAGAAAAAACTTTTCTAGTAAACTCAGAGTAATGTTAAAGCCATCGATAAGCCTTATGTATGTTCATACTCCCATTCTTTCTTAATGTTATGCATTTTCAGAGAGAAATAGGTTTCTATTTGATTCTGTAATTCTAAAAATGTAGTGTAAATAAGTTTATATGTAGTGAAGTATCTTGCACAGCATAGTTTTATAGTATTTTACTTTTTGAAAATATCAAAATTTATAAAATCTTATTATAAACATATTATTTTCTCCATTATGATAAATATCACAACAACAAATTGACATTTAGATGGAACTTTTTTACTTCTATAATTCCCAAAGATGAATATATGGGATTTTTTGAGAAAATATGAGAAACAAGCCAATTTTCATTTATTCTGCTAAGATCTGGACAATAACGTGTGGACACAAATGCCTGTGAGCTCGTTAGATATTATCTGCCATAATCTTCCCTTATCCTAGGACGGTATTTGAAAACTACAGAGCATGTCTTCTGCTATAATAATACTAATGATACAAAAACTGCAGGCTCAGTTGAGAACAAGATTAAAGTATAGTCAATAGATATGAGAAAGTTTACATCTGTTGTTCAGAAAGAAAACACGAGTGTTCAATTGATACCTTTTAATGGAAACATTAAAGATTATTAAGAGTATTAATTTTTCTTTTTTGAACTTTTAGAGCTTGTGTATGTTCATCAAAGATCACATGAAAAGTTTTGAATCTGGTTATTTATGTAATGTTATATACAAGCAATGTTGTCTGCAGATTTAAAAAAAAGCAGTAATTCTGACAGAATACTTTATTATCCTCCTTGTTAATCACTACTTGAGACAGTATATTTTACAGAGTGCTCTCTTCAAAGCAGCCTGATTATATCATTCTTGATACACTAATACGGCTGAGTGAGACTATTTAGGCATCTCTGAAATAATGGGATGCTGAATAAATTGTAAGGACATTAATTAATTTTGACCCTCTGGGAAAAACAAAATTCTTTATGAGAAGGCCAACAAATTCAGTGAGCCTATGGTCTATTTCTAAGCATCACAGCAGAGCTGTTAATTAAAATTGTATTTATGGACCTTTGCACTTATTGTTATCAAGATGAAGAATTAGATACATAAGAGGGCCATTTTCACTGCCCATCACAGGGCTATTTATGAGCCTTTTTGGAGACATTGACGAAGTTGGGGAGAGAAACAACAAACATCAGTCGACTCTCTGGTCTACACATGAATACTGTTTAGACTTAATGTATACAAGATTGAATGGCAAGGGTGACATTTATGTAGCTTGAATTAATGAAGGCATAAGGCACAAAGCTGCTGCTGTCTCTCTTTTTCCCTTCCTTCATAACTTTATGTTCTTTTAAATGATATAATCGGCCATCTCCACAATTAGACTATCAACTCCAGTAAGACAACTGTCACATCTTTTGCTATTGTTACGTCTCCTCTAGCATTTAAATAAGTTTGAATTGCACCTGATAAATACTTCTGTAGGTTACTTGGAACTATCCCCTACTATATTTATTGACAGTGAAGTATTTTGGATTACTTAATGCATTAAGCATTTCCTGAGTGCTTACTAAATACCATTCATTGTGCTGGGAACAGAATATGAATTAACTAAATGTTTGGTAAATAACTATGGAATCAAATATGCTGACTGACAAGAGCATACAAGCTTACTATCATGCATTTCTATACTCACCACTCAAGGTCAGAAAACACCCCCAAATAATCTTAGCAAGCTAATGCTCTCCTATGTATAATAGCAATTTAAGACATATAGTATTCAATAAATACAACTCAATTTGATATTTGGTTGATAGTGTCCTGCAGGTTATGCAGATGATAACTGTACTTCCTATGGGCAGACAGGATGGATATTATTCTGATATCAGAGATGAGGAACACAGATATTATGGTTTTTCTCAACCCGTAAAATGAGTAGCAAAGCCGGAGTGGAAACCCTGGCGTATGGATCCGAATCCAAGCCCTTTTCCAGGACATCACTGTAGTGTGTTCTTTCCTTATAAACAGCTCTGCCTGGATCCCCTTAACCTTCGTATTCAGGGCCACTAAACCTCAATTTCACTCTTGATTTGTATCACCCTGGTCTCTGATAGAGTAGAGAGAGACTCCCCTACTTCTACTAATTCATTTGCTTGAGAAGGTTGGACAGGGATATGGGGTTAGATATAGAAAAGCCAGCACTCCCTCACATGATTCCCAGACCATTATTCCTGGACCCACTTTGATCTTACTCATATGCACTCAAACATACACATACACTTAAAGACATACTTGCACACACACTCATACACAGACACACACACACATATACAAAAACATATAATGACTATATTGTAACACATTTTTTTTTTTTTTTTTTTTTTTTTTTTTGAGACGGAGTCTCGCTCTGTCGCCCAGGCCGGACTGCGGACTGCAGTGGCGCAATCTCGGCTCACTGCAAGCTCCGCTTCCCGGGTTCACGCCATTCTCCTGCCTCAGCCTCCCGAGTAGCTGGGACTACAGGCGCCCGCCACCGCGCCCGGCTAAGTTTTTGTATTTTTAGTAGAGACGGGGTTTCACCTTGTTAGCCAGGATGGTCTCGATCTCCTGACCTCATGATCCACCCGCCTCGGCCTCCCAAAGTGCTGGGATTACAGGCGTGAGCCACCGCGCCCGGCCTGTAACACATTTTTTAAAGATTAAACTGTTTGACAAGAAATTTTTGAGGCATTCCAAGAAAAAGAAGGAGAAGATGAGGGAGGAGCTGGGGCAGAAAAAGAAGGAGAAAGAGGCAGAGGAGGAGGAAGAGGGAGAGGTAGAGTAGGAGGAAGAGGAAAAAGGCAAATGGGATCAGAAATCCTAAGTTAAGGAAAAATAGTTCACTATAGGTCTTCCCAAAGAAGCTACACATATATACAGATATCCTAAGATCCAAGTAAAAAGTACTGGTAAGGACTGAATTGTGCCCCCTTCCTCCAGAATTCCTAGGTTGAAGTGCTAATCCTAGTGTGACTATTTGGAGATACGGTCTTTAAGTAGGTGATTAATGTTAAATGGGGTCATAAGAGTCTTAGTTCAATAGGACTGTTGTCCTCATAAAATGAAGGAGAAACACCAGGAATCTTCAAGTACAGAGGAAAGGCCACGTAAGGACACAGAGAGAAGACAGTCATTGCAAGCCAAGGAAAGAGGCCTCAGGAGAAATCAGATCTCCTGGCACCTTGGTCTTGGACTTCCAGCCTTCAGAACTGTGAAGAAATAAATTTCTGTCGTTTAAGTCATTCAGCCTCTGGTATTTTGTTGTGGCAGTGCTAGCAGACTAATACAAATTCTAAGAAAGGTTGTGAAGAACTCTTCAGGGGAACTCACTCAGACCACTTGGAGGAATAGGGAAATTGGCCCTGCTTCTCACATTTCAACCAATGATCACTGCTTCCAAACACAACTGCTCGCATAAATGGCTTTCTCTCTCAGGATAAAGTCAGGGAAGGGCAGTCTAAAGAAATTTGGACATCTGCCTGGGGAAAGATAATCATGAGATAATTACAGCCTGAAAATGAGTCAGTGTCATAGTTGGGGTTACACAGGATCATCACAATAGGGAGTGGTTTTGAACCTTGGCTGCATATTAGAATCATCTAGGGACTTAATAAAAGTACTAATAGCTGGGTCCCACCCACAAAGATTCTTATTTAATTGGTCTTTGCTGTAGCCTGGGCATGAAGATTTTTAAGAATTCTGCGTGGGATTCCAGTGCGTGGTCAAGGATGAGAATGCCTGCCCTATGGGGAAGTGTATTTGCCTGCATGCTCAACCTACATCCAAAGCACCTGCTATTCATCCTCCCAATCACAGAAGTCTGTTGGGAAAACAGTTCTTTCTGTTGACTATTGAAATTCTTTATTGTGTGCTAAGCAACAGAGGCTTTCATTCATGAGTTTAAATGAATAACCAAGAATCACCACACATTTGAAGACAACCAATGTCATGAAAGAGAAAGTAGAGGAAAAGAACAGTTATCCCTGGAAGAAACAGAACTCAGCATAATGGACAAAAATCAGATTTCTCATTGCTCTTTAGAGAACTGTGACTGGGTTTATTATCCAGCTATATGAGCCCAATCTCATTCAAATTCTCATGTACTTAGAATGAAAGCTATCAATCAGATGCACCTGTAGGAGGCATTGATTTGGAAGTGAGCATCAATTATTCATATCTATTGACACTTGTGTATCATACAAGTGCAACCATTTTTGTCATGATACTAAAAATATTGTTGAGATATATATATATATTTCCATATACATGTATATATTCTAATTCAAATGTGCATATATAAGTAAATATTTACATAAAATATATTTTCTATTGGTTAGATATGATAATAAGTGTGGTTAAATGTAATATGCCAGTAATAAAAAAGAAGTCATTATCTGATAAAAATATATACTGAAGTATTTAAAGATGGTGCAATTTGATACCAGGCTTGCTTTCAAATAATTCTGTAGTATTGAAAATGTGGGTGGAAATATAGACAAAGCAAGATGGACCATGTGTATTAGGCCATCCTTGCATTGCTATAAAGAAATACCTGAGACTGGGTAAGTGATAAAGAAATTTAGTTGACTCACAGTTCTACAGCCTTTACAGGAAGAATAGTGCCAACATCTGCTTGGCTTCTGGGAAGGCCTCAGGAAGCTTGCTATTATGACAGATGGTGAAGGGGGAGCAGGCACAACGCATGGTGAAAGCAGGAACAAGAGAGAAAGTGGCAGGGAGAGGAGGTGCCACACACTTTTAACTGACCAGGTCTCCAGAGAACTCACTCTCACAAAGAGAGCACCGAGCCATAAGGGAGGGATCTTCCGCCATGATCCAGTCACCTCTCACCAGGCCCCAACTCCAGCAACGGGGATTTCAGTTAAGCATGAGATTTAGGCAGGAACCAATATCCAAACTATATCACCATGGGTTGAAATGGTTAAAGCTGGGTTTTGGGTAGGTAGGAGTTCATTAGTCTATTATTTCCGCTTTGGTATAAATGTAAAAATTTTCAAAATAAAGGCGTTTAGAAAAATCGTTCCCACAAAGTATGAACGTGATCAAATCTAGTGAAAAAACCTAACAATATGAAATCTAGTGTGGAATTAGAACTGATTATTTAGAAAATACCAAGGGAGTTGTACACCAGATAGAAGTGAAGACAATACATAATAATAATAATAATATCTCTTCACTAGGTTTTCAAGTTATACTGAAACATAACAAAGAATATGATACATAAATTCTTCTTTAATATGAATTTTAAACAATACATTGGAATTTATTGTGATGCCAATTCAGAACAAATTTCTGTTTAATATTGGTTAGTGTTTGGATACTCAAAAGGAGTTAATTACTACCAATAGTCATGATAATAATAAAATTAAATCCTGAGAGTATTAAAGTGAAACATTTGGGATTTCTGTGATGCTTCAATCACCACATTGAAAATGTATGTGAATAAATGGAGGTGTTTTCACAGGTGGGTGACACAAAAGTAAAATAATGTACATTGGCATGATGAAAAAAATGTTTCTTCAATAATTCATTCATCAGGAAATATTTTTTTGAAGCCCATTTTTTTGAGGCACTATTCTAGGTGCTTGGAATATCTGTTGAATAAATCAGAGAAGGATCTCTGCCATCATGTGGCTGACATTGTAGCAAAGGGGGAAAGAAAGTCAATATGAAGCATTATTAATCACAAATTTGTATAGTGTGTTGTTGTTGATAAGTGCTATAGGAAAAAAAGGAGTTTCTGGATGGTGGGGGTGGGGGAAGAAGAGTGAGTTAAATAAAATGTTACATGTAACTACTGCAATAAAGATGCTTTCATTAGTGTTTTTACTTTTTCAAAGAGTTGTGGATGGATGGATGGATGTGTGATGTATACTGAATAGACAAAAAAGCTTTTTTCAAACACAATGTGAAATTTCAGAATGATTTAGAGGAAGAGATCTGACACTTATTAAATGTTTCCTAAGAGTCAGAAACTGTGAAAAAAAGAATTTATGTATGTTGTCTCATTTAATATTTTTAAAACACTGTGATGTAAAACATGATGTTTTTAGAAAGGTTAAAAAGCTTTACCATGTCACATGGATGACTGAGCAGGTAGATTGGAATACCAAATTTTCTGACTCAAAACACTTTCTCCTGAACCTATACTGTCCAATGTGTTAGCAACTAGCCACATGGAACTATTGAGCCCTTGAAATGTGGCTAGTCAAAATTGACATGTGCTCTATGTGTAAATTACGAACTGGATTTCAAATATGTAGTAACAAGCAAAGAATATAAAATATTATACTAGGAGGTTGTATATTGATTATATGTTGAAATTATAACATTTTGGATATATTAGATTAAATAAATTACTAAAAACTTGTTTACTTCTTAAAATGTGGCTACTAAATATTCTAAAACTACATATGTGGCTCACGTTATGTTTTAATTGGACAACCCTGTTTAATATTACACTGCATAGGTAAAGAAGGCTTTCTTGTCTACCAAGTGAATAAAACACTGGAATTGACTGAAGAAATATTGAAAAAAGCCATCCCTGTATAACTTTGAAGATGAGTAGTCTTTTACTTATAAATTTACACACTTGCAGCAAGAAGTGGCAAAGATGGTCTATTTGACATCCAATCCACTTTAAGCAAAAAGTACTTTGGAGAAAAAGAGAACAATGAAAAGCAAAGTGGTATAATTTTAACAATTTAGCCTAATCTATTATCTTTATATTACATTATATATATTAACAAAGTATATCCTAATAATTAAACATTATTAAAAGAAGAATGTTAGACAAATTACGTTTAGCAGAGTTTATTTGCACAATAAATAATTCATGAATTGGGCAATACTCAGAACCAAAAGTGGTTCAGAGAGCTCCACCCTTCAGTGTGAGCAACAAGCGTTTATGAGCCAAAAACAAGCAAGTTAGAGAAATTATCTGATTGACTATAGCTAGGCATCTGCCTCATTTGGGTATGGTGTGATGAGTTGGCTGCCTGTGACTGGCTGAAATTTGTCTTTTATACTCCTAAATTTGGTTTTGGTTTATTTCTGTACTAAGTTAGGTTGCAGTTGGTTATCTAGGAACTCAAAGTACAAAGAAGACTTCAGGGTAATGGCCTCTTGGTTATTTACTTTGACAATTCCCTTTTCTGGTCAGCCTCTCAATCTTGAGAGGTTGATGCAAACCTTGGGCATTGATGCTAAGGTTTGTCACCATCATAGTGGATATATTTGGTCTCAGTATGGAACTCACAAGGTACAGTATCGAGTCAGCTGAATGATTTGTTCTCTTTGTGTTTTTGTTGTTCAAACCAAAGTGAGACCATTTGATACACAGTGAATGGCTACGCACAAGCATTTAAGACCCTTGAGAGAATACAGTGTACCAGGCAGACTACTATGATGACTATCAGAAGGATAATACCAAGACACTGAAGGATGAAAGGGTGGGTTGCCCCTGCACACCTGTGGGTGTTTCTCGTCAGGTGGAAGGAGACACTTGAGAAAAGAAAGAGACACAGAGACAAAGTATAGAGAAAGAAAAGTGGGCCCAGGGGACCGGCGCTCAGCATACAGAGGATCCGCTCCAGCACCAGTCTCTGAGTTCCCTCAGTATTTATTGATCATTATCTCTACCATCTTGGAGAGGGGGATGTGGCAGGACAATAGGGTAATAGTGGAGAGAGGGTCAGCAGGAAAACGTGAACAAATGTCTCTGCATCATAAACAAGGTAAAGGAAAAGGTGCTGTGCTTTTGATGTGCACGTACGTAAACATCTCAATGCCTTAAAGAGCCAGCATGTCTCACCTCCAGCCCTAAGGCAGTTTTCTGCTATCTCAGTAGATGGAATATACAATCGAGTTTTACACTGAGACATTCCATTGCCAAGGGAGGAGCAGGAGACAGATGCCTTCCTCTTACCTCAACTGCAAAGAGGCTTTCCTCTTTTACTAATCCTCCTCAGCACAGACCCTTTACAGGTGTCGGGCTGGGGGATGGTCAGGTCTTTCCCTTCCCACAAGGCCATATTTCAGACTATCACATGGGGAGAAACCTTGGACAATACCTGGCTTTCCTAGGCAGAGTTCCCTGCAGCCTTCCGCAGTGTTTTATGTCCCTGGGTACTTGAGAGTAGGGAGTGGTGATGACTTTTAACAAGCATGCTGCCTTCAAGCATTTGTTTAACAAAGCACATCCTGCATAGCCCTAAATCCATTAAACCTTGAGTCGACACAGCACATGTTTCTGCGAGCACAGGGTTGAGGGTAGGGTTACAGATTAACAGCATCTCAAGGCAGAAGAATTTTTCTTAGTACAGAACAAAATGGAGTCTCTTATGTCTACTTCTTTCTACATAGACACAGTAACAGTCTGATCTCTCTTTCTTTTCCCCATATTGTTTACTCCATAGCAGGAGCCCTAAGAATCATATGAATTAAAATCAAATAAATCAAAAAATAAACCAGAAGTGGAATCTACTTGTTTTAACCAAATAGCTTGTTTGCTGAATTCTTGCAGATTAGTTTCTATACCAGATGTATTTATCCGTGTGCAGCAAGAGGTGTTAGCTACTGTAGACACTCCCCGCTGTTCAGCCAACAGGTAGTCCAAAACAATCTTGCTATCTAAAACAACCTTATCAAGAGAATTTAAAGAAATGTACTGGGCAGCCATAGCCTTTGCAATATAGTCAGCTATATCAGTTAGTATTTGAGACTGATTTCTAACCATAACTTTATTATATTTATGCCAAGCCAGGAAAGGAGTGTTCTACCCAAAGATGCTCATTTACAGCTAGAAAAAATCTTATTTATTTTACATTGAAAATTGAATTGTATAGATCAATGATCAGTTTCCAGTTGATTATGGAGTGAGTGGTGCCGTTAAAATGCCTAACCCACATTGGCCTCTTTTTGAGACATGGAGTCAAAAAGATCAGCACACGGCTGATCTTTAAATTCTCTACAAATAAAAATATATCTTCAAGAGCCACAACAGACAGTTCCCTTTAAGATGTCTTGTGATTTAAGGGTCACTAGTAGGAAAGCACTAAAATTTATCCAAGGCTTTATTATCAAATCATAGCATGGTTAGAGCCCATCAACAATTAGGGTTATATATTTGTCTACAAAATGCCAAACTATTTTTTGTTGTTCTTATTCAATTTCTGGCATAATTAACTGCAAAACCCTCATTATATGTTTTGCCTACTGTTAGCTTTAAACAAGGAATATGAATATGTGAATCTAAAAGTCTAACCCTATAGAAGAATCAAACCTGCAATATGAGAAAATGGTCACATTTGGAATATCAGTAACTTTTGTTTCAGGGTGAACTAGAGGATCTCTAAGATCATGTAGGGATATTGGTTTAACATGACATAGTCAACATTCAGTTAGGTTTTCTGCAGAAGTTATCAACTATGAAATCTTGATTTTGGCATTATCTCACCATTTGTAAACAGAAAAGAAACACAGAGAAAAAATAAAAAAGACAAAGTTTTCATAATGAGAGAGGGGAGAAGTTTTGATCCTTGTTTTGGGGAAAGTTGGCCACATCTAGGATGTCATCTTCTTCTGAAGAGAAATCTCCTTGGTCAGTTTTGCCTTGAGGTCTCCAAAAGATGTGCAGTCTTGGAGGAGTCCTCTTGAGTTGAGAGATAGGGAGCCAAGACTGAAGGTTATAAAGTTTTGCTGCAGTATGATTGCTTAAAAGAGCTTGGTATCATTCTCTCCAGT
Organism: Homo sapiens; assembly: GCF_000001405.40. NCBI lineage: Eukaryota > Metazoa > Chordata > Mammalia > Primates > Hominidae > Homo > Homo sapiens. Next base: position 19,512,107 of record NC_000010.11, read on the forward strand.
GGGGCTCAGGGGCAGTCTTTCTCTAGTGTCACTTCCAAAAGAGCCATTCTGTGCCCTAGATCATGAAAAATGTGGTTATCATCAGTTGGTGGGTAACAAAGGGCTTTTTTTACATGGTAAACATATACTCTGGCATAATACATTAAAGCTTGGCAATATTTCATCATTTATAAGAACAGGAGATACAGGCAGCTCTATTGTTATGGGCAAAGGCCTCAGTGACTATTTGATAAGATTTCATAATTGGTGCTTTCCAGGGAGAATAGATATTATTGCCATCAAGGACAGCAGTAATACATTTGCCCAAGGCAATCCAGTCTATTCAGTTAGTTTTGCATAATGCCATTGTGTTTGTAATATCTTATTTAACTGTTTGATGATTTGCCCAGTGAAATGAGTGCCTCCATCACTGGAAATTTCTTCAAGAATACCCCATAAAAGAAAAACATTTATAATAACCTCTTAGTTACTGTCATAGCATTGGCTTTCCTATACAGGAAAGCTTCTGTCTAACCAGGAAACATACAAACTACAAGAACACATTGATATCCCATTGAAGGTGGCAATTGAGTTAAATCCATTTGTAAAATTTTAAATGATTTATAGGTAGAAATGCAGCGCCTAAAGACTTGGTTGTCTTCCCAGAATTATGGATTTGACAAACCAAAAAATGCTTACAAACCATTTTAGCAATTTTAGACTAGTCACTCCAAGATTTTTTTTTCATAATTTAAGTCATTTTGAAATTTCCATAATGATTCATGGAGTGCATAGTTTTAAATAATGGAAGATTTAAGGACTCAGGAAGGACGAAGTGGTCATCTGGGTCCTCCATGGGTGTACAATTAACATCGAATTTACTTAATTTTAAATAACACATTTGTTTCTTCATTTCAGGTGTGTAGCACTGTTTATTAAATAGGTTGTCATAGATAATTTGAGTTGGGTCAATCTTACTGTGTTCACTTAAATTGCATATATGATATGGTTTGTATATTTGTCCCCTCCAAATCTCATGTTAAAAGGTAATCCCCAGTGTTGGAGATGGGACCTAGTGAGAGGTGCTTGGGTCATGAGGATGGATTCCTCATGAACGGCATGGTGCTCCATCTCTGGTAATGAGTCCACATGAGAACTCATTGTTAAAATGTGTGTAGACCTCCCCCTTCACTCTCTTGCTTCCTTTCTCACTACGTGATCTAACAGGTTCCCTTTTTCCTTCTTTCATGACCATAAGCTTCCTGAGGCCTCACCAGAAGCCAAGCAGATACTGGTGCCATGCTTATACAGCTTGCAGAACCATGAGCCAAATAAATCTCTTTTTTTTTTTTTTTTGAAAATTATCCAACCTGGCCGGGCGTGGTGGCTCACGCCTGTAATCTCAGCACTTTGGGAGGCCGAGGCGGGCGGATCACGAGGTCAGGAGATTGAGACCATCCTGGCTAACACAGGGAAACCCCGTCTCTACTAAAAATACAAAAAATTAGCCAGGCGTGGTAGCGGGTGCCTGTAGCCCCAGCTACTCGGGAGGCTGAGGCAGGAGAATGGTGTGAACCCGGGAGGCGGCGGTTGCAGTGAGCTGAGATTGGGCCACTGTACTCCAACCTGGGTGAAAGAGCAAGACTCCATCTCAAAAGAAAAGAAAAAAAAAATTATCCAACCTAAGGTACTCCTTTATAGCAATGCAGAATTAACTAACACAGTATCTTAACAATTTCAGTATTGGCTGACTTAACCACGAGAATCTGCAACAGCATTTTCTTGGCATTCAATTAATTAATTCTTGTTCTACTAGATATTGGGTTAGCAATTTAGGTGCCAATCAGTTTCTTCATTAAAATTCTGAGAATTCTTACCTAGTCAAATGATGGGATCTTAAAGTTACCAGAAACCTGTACTTGTTAGAGTCCTTTCCGTGAATCCCCTGAAAGATAAAATATTTTAGGCTTACAGCTGTTTGTAATAGCTTTCAGGAACCTAACAGAATAAAACAATGAACTATCTACAGATGACAAGACTTAAAATGGCCATGGCTTAAAGATCTTATTACAGTTTATTATAGTGCAACTGGCAAGAAAATTTTGTTTTTGCAACATAAAATAATTTAAGGTAATAACTAGAATTATGACTGACAGCATTATACTACAACCATCAGTTTCCTTGGAATTTTATATAATTTCTCAAACACATATTAATAACATATCATACAATATAATTGAAATAAGGTTTAGTATCACTTATTATTTGACAATGTTTCCCATGCCATTTAACATGTTAGATAAGCCTAATTAGTTTTACACCTCTCTTTTAATCAAGAGAAAGAAAAAAATTCTTTTGAGATATTTCTATGGCCTGTAGGAAAACTCCCTAAGTTAGTTCAACGTCAAAAGATCCTAATTTAGACTTTGATTTTGGGAAGTCTTGAAAAATAAGAGGTTTTGAATACTTGATTAAAATAGGATTACAGGGCAATGTGAAACAATGCTTACTCATTTAACTAGAGTGATAATTAAAATATTTAAAGACAAATACAGAAAGGTACATAGTTATAGGAAAGAAAAACCTTAGTTCATTTAATAAACAGAACTCACTTTTCTTAAGAAATGAAAGATCCCATACAGACTGCATGAAGTGTAGGAAATTATCTTGATAAAACACAGAATATTTGTTTCCTAGGTCAATTATCTAAAAGGAAAGCCTTTTACAATTTTCTACTAAAGGCAGACCAATACTCCAAGAAAACCTTGTTGTTTTAACATAGAGGATCAAATTCTTGTTTTGTATCAGTGTACTTTTGATATAAATGCTTATTTTTTTGGAAGACTTAAAAATAATTCCCTTCTAATTGCAGCCAGTTTGATCACACATAAAATATCTGTCCATTCCATCTACAATACCCTTATGTCCATTCAGTGTTTGTTTTATACTTTTTTCTTTTTCCCATTTTGAAACAGCCATTTCTTATGCTTTAGGACAAAAAAAAAAATCTTTTTTACTTAACAAACAACAAAAACACAACTTTATACTTTATAGCTTTTCTTACCAAAAGCATAGCTTACCATCTTTATATACTTGGATTTAGAATGGTTTTTCTAATTATTTCTAGTAATTTTAGTTACATGTATGAATTCAAATAATGAACTCTTAGTGACCTTAATTTACAGGGAACACTAGGAAGCAAACAACTGAGCTATATCACACCAGCTTCCTGTAGATTGGCAAATCTATGAATCATAATTTCTAGAAATATGTACTTTTTCATAGTACACTTTTTTTGGTATGACACAGAACATGTGTACTAACAGTTTAAACCATCTTTAGTCCTGTAATGAGAAACTGTAGAAGAGGCAAAATTTTATCTCTGTCCTTTCAAGGTTTTCTTTTAGTAGGTCACTTTAACTTGTTGTTTGTACAGATTTCCCGTAGCCTCAACTTTCTCTTTTTTTTAATTTTTATTTATTTATTTTTTTTGAGACAGAGTCTCGCTCTGTTGCCCAGGCTGGAGCACAGTGGCCCGATCTTAGCTCACTGCAAGCTCTGCCTCCCGGGTTCACGCCATTCTCCTGCCTCAGCCTCCCGAGTAGCTGGGACTACAGGCACCCGCTACAACGCCTGGCTAATTTTTTTTCTTTTTTGTATTTTTAGTAGAGATGGGGTTTCACCATGTTAGCCAGGATGGTCTCAATCTCTTGACCTCGTGATCTGCCTGCCTTGGCCTCCCAAAGAGCTCGGATTACAGGCGTGAGCCACCGTGCATGGCCAACTTTCTCTTCTTGCTGATAAGAACGTTAGAACCAGCTAGTATAAGGACATCATTCACATGGGAATTTTAGATTACTTACACCTATTTAATTCACTTGTTTTTATGATTATGCTTGGATTACTTATGAAGATGAGACGTTAAACAACTAGCTATCGTCTTAAGTTATTTTCATTGCTGACAAATTTTTTAATATAGAGATAACATAAGCTTGTTTTACTAATAAACCTAGGTAGAAAAAGTTGTGCATCTGAATTATGTCTAATGTTGAGAAATCTGGAGATGTACCTGCTTTAATCAAACTCACACACTTTAATTAGCTTTTATTTACCAAAGACTATCCCAGATCATGTAAATTTGAAAATAATTTGTGTTAGTTTCTATCTTAGAGTTTAAGGAATATCTAATTTATGCAAGTGCTCATTTTTTTCAGCCAATGTAAGAGAACTCTTTTACAATTTAATTTTGGCAATCCTGTAAGCTGGTAGAAAAATACCACACATACATAACATATAGACAATTAGACAAAAATATATACAGAGAAACATTTCTTATAGCTTTTATTTGAAAATTTAAACCGTGTTTCAAGTACAATAATATGAAACTCACTAATTTATTAAAGATTTAGAGTCAAATTCTTTTTCTTGTCCGTGGAACAAGATTGCTTTCCTAGATGACTAAATATTCTACTAATATTTGTGGGGAAACTTTTAAGATTTTTTCATTTGTTCAATTTTCAAATATCTTCTCCTCCTCCTGCTCCTCCTCTTCCTCCTCCTCCTCTTCCTCTTCCTACTCTTCTTCCTCCTCCTCATCTCCTCCCTCCCTTCCTCCCTCCCTCCCTTGCTTACCTCCCTCCCTCCCTCTTCCTTCTTCCTTGTTCTTTCTCTTCCCCTTCACCTTCTTCTCCTCCCTCTTCTCCTCCTTCTCCTTCATCATTATCATTTTCTCTATACTTGCATTTTAAAATGATATCTATGAGGTCCTACAGAAGACAGTGTTAAATTTTTACATCTTAAAGTCACAGAGCTTAAACTTTAGGCTTAAATACTGTAGTCTGCCTAAACCAAGAAAGAACGGCATAGCTAAAAGCCCAGTTAAGACAAGATGGCCATGACAAGCACTTAAAACAAAAGTAAGGCTTTTCATGTCATCAGGGGTTTGAGACGAGGGGTTTTAGTTGACCGAGTAATTCCTCTGGTTGAAGCAGGATTGAATAGGAAAAACAGAACTAATTCTAACAAACGTTTTTCTGAAAATGATCCTAATATCAATTGGATAGATTAAGACTGTAGACTTTTGGGGGCTTGACTTGAAATTCCCACCCTGGAAATATGCTTTTTTATCTGAGGGACTGGTTGGTTATTGTCCTGGGAGTCAAGCCCTTAAGTACTTTCTCCAGTAGGGAAACATTCCAGGCCAATGTGAGTGCATTCATCAGATGGCTGGTGAAAACATGGGCAATTTCTTTTCCAATAGCCTGGCTGTTTACAATAAAGGCAAAAATCTCAGGGCACGAGGTTCTAGTTTGAAATCTCTCAGTTTGGGTTTTAAAATACACACAAGGAGGACCTGTTAGTCCCATAGATACAAAGACATGCATCATGCCTTTTCTAAAGAGTTTTCTCGCTGTAGCCAATGTAACTCTAAGTCACCTTTGATAAAGTTCACCCATTTCTGTAGAAAAACACAGATTCTAGGTCCATAGTTCTTATATATGAAATCAGCTGGTGTTCCAGATGGGGGAGTTCTAGATACCTTGGTTACAGATGACCTACAATTTTATGTAGTAACCTTACCTATTGGATCCAGTCCAGTTTTGTTATGAAGTTCAGTATGAGCCTGGGCACAGTCATATCCAGTAATTGTTCGAATAAAATCAGGAAGCTCAAAACACAAATTTGAGGAGCTCAAATTTAAGAGAGAACTCACCCACAGCCTTCACTTGTTGCAAGAGAGCAATGGACTTAATGCTTGGTCACTTGGTGCTTCTGAGGGTCATGGGAGGTTTCCTCCACATCCCACTTCTGACACCAAACTGTTAATTCAGACAAATTAAATTTAGCAGAGTTTATTTTTGCAGATATGACTTATAAATCAGGTAGCACTCAGAACCAGAAAAGGTTCAGAGAGCTCTGCCTGAGTTTGAGCAAGTTTTTATGAGCCAAACACAGAAGCACTTTAGGGAATCCCCTGATTGGCTATACTGCTAGGCATCTGCCTTATTTCGGAATATTGTCATTAGTTGCCTGCCTGTGACTGGCTGAAACACAGCTGCTTATGATTAGCTGAAGCTCTGTTGTTTGTTATACTCCTAAGTTTTATTATAGTTTGTGTACATACTAAGTTAGGTTGTAGTTTGTTTTGCAGAAACTCAAAGAGACAACCTCAGACTAATGGCCTCCTGCTAATTTAATTTAACAACATTAACATGGCAATCTGAATATATCAGCAATTTCAGTGTCCATAAATAACTGTCTTCTGAATTATTGTGCAGATATTATCATTTCTGTTTTATAATTTCCATAGAGAAAAACCAATGACATTCTTAATTTTATATTTTCTTTATCTTTTATGATTTTCTTTTTCTTATATAATGTCAAAGTTGATATTTTATTATTTTTTGAAATTACAGAGTCTCTACTGACCTGTGAGATAGTATTTATGATAGTGTGATAACATCTCTATAATGACATACGTTGCCTTCATAATTCACTCTACAAAATCATCCAGATCTCTATTTCCAAATTTTGTATTAATTGTTACAGGCTTTGCATTTTCAGGTAATGGTGTGAACATTTTTTTTTTTCATAAATACTAAAATACAATTATCTTTGTCAGCAGAAAGGTACTTTTCTTAATAAAATGTTTAGTTGTTTCACTAACAGTCATGTTCTGAAACTTCCTAAATAGAACAAACTTTGGCTTACTACATAATTGGTTTCAATTTTAGTGGCAATTGCCATTCATGAATCACTCACAACCACAGTGAAAATTATGACCATCAGCACTGCCAGTGCAACACTAGTCATAAAGTTGATTTGCTTTAGATGTTTTGCTTTTACAATGAATTAGACAGCATTATCCCTATAATGCTGTTTGGTGTATGTAATGCAGGATCTCACTTTTTAATGATATATGAATGTATCTCGGGTTATTTTAAAAGCTTTCTCTCTTTTTCTGTCTTTTCTTTGACTTGCCCTAGAAATATCCTCTTCATGTTTACCATTACTTAAAAAAATGTATATACTTGTTCTAATTTTCTTTCATTGTCAAAATTTTTCATCAGTATATACTTATTCTAATTTTCTTTCATTGTCAAAATTTTTCATCAGCATAGTCAAGTTTTGCATAATAGCATTTATTTACACTATGAATATCAGTTTTTTTCTCATTTTCTTCTATTGTTGCCTCCTACTTTTACTTTTCCTTTGACTTTTCTCCTATTATGCCACCAAAACATATAAGCATGAAGTGAAAGGAGATTTTTATCAAGGAGAATGACAAACTATTAGTATAAAATGAACAGTTATTAATATTACTAATATTTCATATACTCATTATATACTTTGAAAAATCTTTAGTATCATCTTTTAAAAATAATTTGGTTCTAGACTGGGCACAGAGGCTTACACCTGTAATCCTAGCACTTTGGCAGGCCGTCGCAGGAGGCAGGAGGACTACTTGAGCCCAGGAATTTGAGACCAGCCTGGGAGACATAGTGAGACCCTGTTGCTACAATTTTTTTTTTATAAGGTAGCCAGGTGTGTGCCTGTAGTCCTAGTTACTCGGGAAGCTGAAGTGAGAAGATTGCTTGAGCACAGGAGGTTGAAGCTGCAATGAACTGTTATCACGCCACTGCAATGTAGCCAGGGCAACAGAGCTAGGTGCCTTCTCAAACAACAATAACAAAAAACTGGTTCTGATATTTTCTAATTATTATATTTGTTCAATGATTAAGTAAATACTTTAGTTTGGAACAAAAGACTATTAAACGGTCTACTTTCATACAAAGCAAATGAAGAGGGGTTCTTACAGTTGCTATTGTTTACCTCTTTTTAAAGGAATAACATATAACTAAAGGTAGATCATTGTTATGTCCACCTAAATAGAACATGTCTTGTTGTCAAAACTGATGTGACCCTTTGTAGCTACTATTCACTGAGTGTCAATCACCGTGCACCTGACTCTGAACAGGCTTTTTCATTTAATCCTCACAACAACCTTGAGTCGTTCACGGAAGAGGAAATTGATGCACAGAGAGGGTTACTAACTTTCCCCCAACTACACAGAAGGCACTTGTTGAACTTAGCATTGAAACTCGTGTGTATCTAAAGCAAAAGCCTGTATTTGTAACCACTGTCCTTTAATGTGGATTTCTCAAAACATCCCAAAATGTATAAAACTGATGACATAAAAATGGTAATCGATGGTTTGTTTTCTAAAAAAAAAAAAGCTGCAATTGGTATCATCTTTGTCATTGCATTTTGTCTACCAATGGCTCAAAACAAGTATGTTTTTTCTGTCCTTCTTAGTTACTCTAGTTGCTGTTTTCTTCCTACATATCAGTATATTTCTACTTTCTCCTTGTCTCATTTAACTTTTTAGAAATACAAGTATTCTACTCCAAACATACAATACCATCAAAAAAGAAATCCAGGTGACTTTGTTGGCTGATAAGCCTCAGAATGTGTCTTGCAGATTTAGTTTTCTTAAAAGTTTTCTGTGAAAAGGAATAAATGATAGCCATTGTTTGCTTGTTAACCACAATTAGAATAAAAGTGTTTCTCTATGAAACCATAGTGAGTGTTTAGGTTAGGGTCCTTCCTGTTTCTTTTATTTTTTTTCTGAGACAGGTTTTTTACCTTAGTGATGTTTCGACAACAAAAACAAACCCTGATTATCTACAGCTGCTCTATATTTCTTCAGCTATTCACCCCATCAAACAAACAGTAATTTTCATTTTGCTGCCAAAAAGCAATGCTGGTCTGAAAATATGAACCCCTTCTATTCATCCACATGTACCATCTGAATCAGATACCCAATCAAATATTCCTTCCTTTACTTTGGTATATTTGTCTACATTTATTTAAAATATTTCCAAGAATACTTAACAAATGTTTCAAGCACGACCCAAATGATGCTTGCTTGCTTGCGTTTTTTGTTTGTGTCAAAGGTATTATCTGTGAGATGATACTGAGTGAAAAACATGTGAATGAATCAGTTCATTTGGAATCTTGGAGGGCATGATTAGACTCTGAATATGTAATCTGAAAACTTTTCAGATGAATTATCTCATCGTTTTATAAGCATCTAGACACCGTAATTTCTCTAAAAAGAATCTTCTAAATATGTATTTATTTACAGACTCTATTTCCTGGTAAAATAATGAACTACTTAACCATTTCTATCTTTCCATAATCTTGCTTCCTTTAATTTATTTCCTTGAGTGTCCTTAAACTGTCACTCTGTCACCACATCATACTTTTTGTCTTCAAGCATCACAGTTCTCTCTGATCTTAACCAAAAAAAGACAAAATGAAATAAACTTAGTCTAGATTCTCTTCTAATGATTATTGTTTTCGTTATAAATATATATTAAATAACCATTCCTCATGCACTTTGTGTCCTCCCCCTCACTATCCACACCTTCCTTGGTGCCCTTCAATCTGTCTTCTGCAAAATATTATTTCTGCAACTAGTAATTATTGGTCACTCATTCTTGGCCATTGATCTAGATAGTGTAAAGATAATATTTTAGAAGATTCAGTCTCTGTCCTCTTGAATATATTCTAGTTCTCTTCCAGGACTTTTATGATTTTTAAAATTGTAACAACCTGATTCTTGCTATTATATGTATTTAATACTACTGATCAATCACTTATTTCCACATTTGAGTTCCATACTATCATTTGCCCACTAGGTAATTGTTAGTATCTCCAAGTCACATATTCAAATGTAAACTTGCCTTCCTTGCAGAAAGCATCTTCTTCTCATGACTCTAGTATCTCTGTTATTGTCATCATCATTGTTAACACTGTTAATTCTCTCTCAATTTCAAATTCTGTCAGCTCTCTTTCTCAGCTGATTATATGTTTTCATAATCTTTGCATTTTCACATCTGTCATCCATACTCACTTCTGGGCTATTGTAGATAAGGCCACTCATTTACAACGCAACTATTCTTCTGAATGAGGCCACTCTTCACACTGACGCAAGATTAATATTTATAATTGGTGACTCCTGGTCCGCCAAATAATCAGAGGCTCTTCATTGCCTTTCAGTTTAGCATCAAGGACTGTCTGCATTCTTCTACAGATTGTATTTTTCATTTTAATTCTTATGTTCTTCTTCTACAAACTGAGTTCTTGTACCTCAGAAGTACTTTGGGTTTTATTAATATCAATACTTCATTGTACCATTGTTTTGGTATGATTTGTAATTTTTGGCTGATAGTAGACACTATATACTGGGTAAAAGGAACTGAGATTAAAAGGCCATTAGTGTGAGGTTTTTAATGTTTACCTGACTAGGACTAAGATTGTATTTACTGTTTGTTATAGCTGTAGGTGTCAGAAGGTAACATTTCCTCTGGTATCCTTGTCTTTGTCTTCCTCATGATAGTTGAGTTTCCTTAGAAGCTTCTTCTTAAATAAGGACTGTAGGATGGCCTGTCTTTCAGTGGTAGTACCCCATTAGGACACACCTTTTATGAAGTTTTTCCTCCTTCACCAAATTTAAGCCATCTTTTATTTGTTGAACTAAGTAGCATTTATGATCTACATCAATATTTGATATTATATGCTCCCAATAATCCAAATGAGCTGTAAATTATTATTATCCCCATTTGATAGATGATAAATATGAGACATAGTAGGGATTAAGAAATTTTCCCAAAGTCACAAAGCTTATAAGAATCAGTATTTGGCTTTTAACTCAGGCAGTTTGACTCAGAGCTGGTCTTTAAAACAATACATATTATTAGCTTGTAAGATTATTTTGGATTTGTTTTGTATTTTACCAGTCTTACCTTGCACATCATTCTACATCCAAATGAAAGACATGCTACCTTCTCTATAGTAGTTATTCAATCAATAACTTGCAATTAATTGTCTTATTTCCACTGGTAGAATCATCTTTATATCTATTCTCTAAATTTCCCAGGAGAGTAGCACTAATTTGCAACTATGTTCTAAGTACTTTACATGTAGTAGATCATTTAATTTTTACCACAACCCCATGAGGCTGAAGTATGTACTATAATTATCTCTTATTGCTTCTGAGTCCTAGAGAATTTAAGTAGGTTGCCCAAGGTCACATACCTAATAAGTGGTAGAGTCAGGATGCAAATCAAAGTCTACAGCTCCAGTGCCTTCAGACTTAACCAGTGGACAATCCTGCCTACAGTTCTGCCCATTACATATGCATTAAAATAATGTGATAATATATTTCTGTTTCAATGAAAATAACTATTCTTCTGTTCTTACTTGCTTTCCACACTCCTCCAGGTAAAATAGATCTGAAATTTAAATGAAGTCAAAGCTCTTTTATAATAGTGACCACTTATCATTTTACCTAAATAAAAGCATCTACCATTTATTAGTTTTGCCTTCTCGCATGACCATGAAACAAGTTTTACTTGTAATCTCATTTGGAAAACAAAGTTACAGAAATGTTATTAAGTTAATTCATGTTTCCAAAGGCATCTTGACAAATAAATGACTCATAAAGAGGTTTTTCAGGGTTCTTTGAATATGAGGATGCAGAGATTCAGAATCTCTTGTCTCTAGCTGTAACTTATAGGAAATGGCAACGAATTTCACTTATATATCATCTTCCTGTGATTGAGGTATTCTTGCTGCTGAGCATATTAGGTTCTTTAAAAATAAGATGACTCTACCTTGTGTTGGCATGCCACAACCAGAAGCTTCATTTTTGTATCAGATTAATGCATACTGCGGGGGGCGCATGGGGGGAGTTTATAATATTGACTTTGATGACAGTTAATAGCATTAAAATGAGACATTCTGGTAAAAAAGTGTTTTTATTTAAGAGGCAATAATTAGTCTCAAAAGAGATTAATGCCTAAAGCATTACTTATTGGAACAAAATATAATTTATGACATTTAAAAGAAATAGTCATTGTATCACTCTTTAAAAAGCAAATCAGAATAATGTAATGACAGACATTTTTATCAAATGCTATGAGAAAAATTCATTCGTCTCCAGAAACACTGCATCTGTGTTTTCCATTCTGACAACTTTGAGGAAACTTTTTCTCTCGCTGGCCATATTTACATTTCACAGCCTTTAAAAATTGCAGATGTGAGCTGGGTGCAGTGACTCACGCCTGTAATTCCAGCACTTTGGGAGGCCAAGGTGGTGGATCACCTGAGGTCAGGAGTTCGAGATCAGCCTGGCCAATGTGGTGAAACCCTGTCTCTACTAAAAATACAAAAAATTAGCTGGGCGTGGTGGTGCGTGCCTGTAGTCCCAGCTACTTGGGAGGCTGAGGCACGAGAATCACTTGAACCCAAGAGGCGGAGGTTGCAGTGAGCCAAGATTGTGCCACTGCACTGCAGCCTGGGAGACAGAGTAAGAAAAAAAAAAAATTGCAGATGCACGTTGGAAATCTGCGGGAAGAAAATGAAAGCACAAAAAGAGATTGAGAGCGTTTCACCTGATAGTCATTAGACACCCTTCTATTGAGAGTGAGAGACAGGCAGAAATTATGGAGGATGCAGAGGCAGACTGAATAAATCTGACTCTGAAGAATGGAGCTTTTGCTATTTTGAAAGAGGCATAATGCACAGCATTTTTAAAAACTATTAGCCAGCTTTATTTTATGAACAGGAAAATGAGAAAAAAAAAGTCTAAAACTGAGTCTTAATTTAAAGCAGGGATTGAATTCAGATCACTTGAAGTGAGAAATTGTCTTTTATTATTTTTCCTTAGTGCAGTAAGTATGATTCTTCTTAGGGCACTGAAGCTGTCAAAGCATACCTTTCCTTTATTTTATTTTTTAAATTTTATTACTATTATTATTATTATTTTGAGATGGAGTTTTGCTCTTGTTATCCAGGCTGAAGTGCAATGGCATAATCTCGGCTTACTGCAACCTCCCGCCTCCTAGGTTCAAGCGATTTTCCTGCCTCAGCCTCCCAAGTAGCTGGGATTACAGGCATGTACCACCATGCCCAGCTAATTTTTTTTTTTTTTTGTATTTTCAGTAGAGACGGGGTTTCCCTATGTTGGTCAGGCTGGTCTCGAGCTCCTGCCCCTAGGTGATCTGCCCGCCTGGGCCTCCCAAAGTGCTGAGATTACAGGCGTGAGCCACCGAGCCCAGCTAGCTTTCCTTTAAAAGTATCAACTTTTTTTTTTTAACAGAAAAATGTAAAATTGATTACCTTATAGTAGAATGACTCAATGAAACAGTTTTAAAATCTCGAGAGTGTAGCTAATCACATCTAAAAGACAAATTAGAATTTTTAACCCTCTGCTGACATCAATGTGAAAAAATGTCCATGAAGCATAGTGATTGATTCTGAATTTGTCTAGTATATATTTGGCACTCTGATATTAAGTAACTGTTGTGATTTGAGGATAGTACACTTTGATGCTGAATTTATACTATTGTATTTGACATTAAGCAGCTACAATTTTCAAAAATGTGTGCAACTCTTTTAAAGAGATTTTAAGGTAAAAGTTGAATATTAATTGGAAATCTCTATTCATTGCCTAATTGTAGCTAATTAAGATGCAAAATGTAAAATCTGTGCCCCAGGAATCTTAAGAACTTATAATCATAAACTTACACAAGCAAAAGTGAAGTATTAAATGAAAAGTGTCCAGAAAATATTTGGTGTCAGTTTGGGAGAGGCAAAATTCAGATATATTTAATGAATACAATATTCCAGAACACTACACCTGGTAGTATTTAATTAAAGTGTAATCGATTTTACAAAATTAATTGAATGCATTCTGATCTGAATATATGAGGGTTAAGTAGCTTTTGAAATGGCAAGTAGTAAGCTGTAAAACAGTCCAAAATCAAACAAATAAACGAAAATTCTGCTTCTATAAATAGCTGTTCTGTGAATGTTGTTGATCTTTTCATAGAGTCATATAAATAAAGCGAGTTGGTTTAATGATTTACCATTAAATTCTAAATATGCTGTGGCAGTTCAGACATTTCAGCTTTATTATCTGCTTTAATATATTCTGAACTTTGTGCAAGAGGCTACATTGACCTTCCCCAAGGATTTTGCTAGATATAAATAGGTAGGTCTCAATGAAGCAACTGAAAGTTTATAAATGTTTGAAAGTGGGTCTAGTCTGAGCTTGCTAGATAAAGAATGAGTCTATTTCTGAAAGTATAATTCAATGTAAGGTGTTATAACATTGAGATACAGTACATAGTTTCTGGATAATTCATGAATTTCTATTAATAATTTCAAGAGGCTAAGCAACTTTCATCTTTATGATTCTCCAAAAAAAAAATACATATATATATATATATGTCATCACAAAAGTTCATCCCTCTTATAAGGTCAAACTTAGATATGCTAGAGTTTCAGAATTAAAAATTGCCAAAGATTAAATTTGCAATGGTGTCTTTTAAATTTCCAGGTACATTTTTGCTTTCTTAAATTTTAAAATGGATACCTTGGCATGCATTAATACTTTGGCCAAGATTCAGTTTTCTGACTTTTGTGTTAGACTGCACAATTTTGTAAGACCAAAATTGAGTATGCAAATTTGAAGATGTTAAGTGGCGATATACTTTGATAACTCAGCCCAGAGTCCCTTAATTAATAATTGGAATGGTTAGCTTTGATATTGGGCCTTACATGACATTGATTGTCCTGTGCCAAAATAAATATGCTGCAGCGAAATAGTGGATTATCATTCCCAGTGAATTAAATTTCTTTACATTGTGTTTCATGACATAGCCCTAAAATGCAAACATTAGATTGTATAACATTTCTTTCTACGAAGTCATATCTTTGCTAAGCTGGTTTTAGTAGTTGCTGTCACAAAAGTGACATTTACTGGGGAAAATGTAGAATAGGAAAGAAGGTGATGTTCAGTCTGATTTCAAGGTTTGGGAATTTGTGTAGGGCCCAAAAGACACACACCCCATTAGAAAATAACTATGGCTATTTAAGAAAGCAATAATACATATATTACTGTTTCCATCTGTGTGCAGTAATTTTCCAAGTACCTGCGATGTTGTTAGAATATTTTTCAAGTACTTGAAATGTTGTTAGGTACCAGGCTGGAAGAAATATCTCAATTTTGTTTTTTACTTCTCTTTATTAGTAAATTACTGAGAACTCTAAAGATGTTGTGACTTGAGTTACTTCAGGAGCCTGTAAGTTATTACAAAGGATGGAGCATTTGGTTAGACTTAATTCAGGTTGCTGTGGAAACTTAAAATTGGCCTTTTATAGTTAGATATTGGAGTAAAAGTATTGAAAAGAAATATCTGAATTAGTGGAGTTTCAATGTATGTATGCAATTGGAGGAATACATTTACATAAATACAAGATTTTAAATCGGAATTCAATTCCTAACTTTGCAAAATTGGTTAAATTTGTGTCAGTGAACCTAATTACTAATTTACCTACTGCTTTAAATATTTGGCTTTCAACATCAGGTTGACACTACAACATGGAAAAAGAAATATTTAAAGTCTGAATTAAATAGAATCTGCTTCTGAGATGGAAGTACATTAGTTATCATTATACATGTTATAGTATTTGAGAACTGAACTATAAAATAGAAATAACTTATACAAACATATTAGTTATTTAACTATTTGGGACAAAGTCAAGGCTATTTATTCACATCCAATATAGGATGAATATATTCCATACTTTCAATTAAGCCTTACTGTACATGAAAAGTTATTATAGCTCATTGGATTATACCATATTTTTCTTACTGAAGATAATGTTTTAAAGTTGGTCTGATAAAGTGCAGTCTAAATGCATTAGAAATTCTCAAGTGTGTAAAAGGCAACAGAATGTGGAGAAATCCAGATATTCTTATTTAATTAAAAATACCTTGGATTTAAAGAAAGTACGTTTTTAATGAATAAGCCACCGTTCATAGTAGGTTTGACAGGTGCAGTCTAGGTATATTGGCTTTGCATTCCACCTATGTTGTGATTTTCCAAATAAGAAAACAAGCCGTATTTTTGGAACAAAATGTGAAACTTAGAAAACTTTTTTTTCTGTGGCATTAAGTACTGTGTTCAATTTTCCTAACTCAATATTTGGTGGTACATACAATGTATTTCAAAGAACAATGAGGATAGAAAACAGCTTACCAATGCTACAGGAACAGTCCAAGTTGCTTTCATGTGTAATCTTTTGTACTGAAAATTTTGCTGCAATAATTCTCAGACAAAGTTCCCTGCTTATCTTACTCAAATAAAATTAGGCCGGGCACAGTGACTCAAGCCTGTAATCCCAGCACTTTGGGAAGCCGAGGCGGGCGGATCACAAGGTCAGGAGATCGAGACCATCCTGGGCAACATGGTGAAACCCCATCTCTACCAAAAATACAAAAATTAGCTGGGCTTGGTGGCACACACCTATAGTCCCATCTACTTGGGAGGCTGAGGCAGGAGAACCGCTTGAACCCGGGAGGCAGAGGTTGCAGTGAGCCAATATCGTGCCGTTGCACTCCAGCCTGGCGACAGAGCAAGACTCCGTCTCTAAATAAATAAAGAAATAAAAATAAATTTTATTGAAATTTTCTTATTTTGGCAGCCTTTATAAAGGGGTGTTGTTGAAAAGAGAAATTTTCAGTAAAATAGCTTTTTTAAAAAAATAGATGCAAGTTATTTGCATCTTCCAGTCCAGCATGTAAGGAGCTTGGAAGGCATCATTCCTATCATCGTAGAAGGAAAGGTGAACCAACTGAAAATCAACAATTCTTTTTAGATTCATTAGAGAACTGAAGTCACAGTCAAACCACTACCCCCAACATTGGACAGCCAGCCAGACAGACACAGAGTATCGTAACTTACCTGGGCAAGTAGCCCATGAACGGGAACTCTTCAGGGACAAGTACTGGTGTAGGAATCCTCACTGAAACCGACAGATTGCTGCAGCCTCAAGGTGGACAAGTTTGAGAGATAACAGTGTCATGAGGACCCAGCCCTTGGCAGCCCACACACTTTGGTGAATGTTCCCTTCAGGAGCCCTCCCACATTCTCACAGCAAAGATGAAAGAAAAATCCCCTCAGTTTTCAGCAGGGGAAAGGGGGAAAGTAGCCATTTTGAAATATTCCTAGAGCATTCTATTCTTAACAAGGCCTGCCTTCAAGAAAAACTATTTTACCAGAACCTAACCAACCTAGGGGAATAGAAATGCCCAATTATATTATAAGAAGTGGGAGGGAATAATTGAAAATACTCTGTTTTACAGTACTTGTACTACCCATGAAATGGGTTAGTTATGTTGTTACATAAGTTGCTTATAAAATGGTATGATGATATTTGACAGAGGATTTGGCTTGGTAGTTATAATGTATATTGCAAATTCAAAGTCAGTCCCTAGAAAAAGAATGTAAAAACAGAAGATATAAAATTGATATGTTAAGAGAGGATAAAAACAGAATCGTGAAAAGTTCAATTAAAAAACCAGAGAAGACAGAAAAAAACAGGAGGGGGGGGGAGAAAACAAAGATTAAGGATATTAGAGTATTGAATACAAAATGAAGACAAATATGGTAAATGTTATAAATATTAGTCCAACTATATGAATAATTAAGTGCTAATCATCTAAATTCACCTATTTGTCAAAATAGATGCAAACACAAGACCCAACTATATATTGTCAGTAAGAAACCTACATTTAATATAAACACACAGATTAAAAATAAAGGCATGGAGAAACATATACCATGCTAACATTAATCAAAAGAATGTAGAAATTTAGATAAAGATGACTTTGGAGAAAGGAAGATTACAGGAATAAAAAGAAACATTACATAACATTATGTAGTAATAATTAGATCATTACTCCAAGAAGACAAAACATAGAATATGTTCTATGTACATGCATAGGAAGACAATATTTTGTAGACATCAGTTCTTCCCAACATGATGTATAAATTCAATGCAATTCCAATCCCAAGTTATTTTGTAGATATTAACAAACCGATTCTAAAGATTGCATGGAAAAGCAAAAGACTCAGAATAGCCAAAACAATATTTAATTAATAAGAGTGTGTCAATATTGGCTCATTAATTGTAACTAATGTAACACACTAATGCAAAAAAGGTTAATAATACACAAATGGTCTGTGGGAGAGGTATGAGGACACAGGAAACTCTCTTACTGTCCTCTCAACTTCCTTTAAACCTAAAATTGCTCTAAAAAATTGTGTATTCATTTTTGTCATCTATATTTTGAAGGACATTGTTGAAATGTTGAAATTTATATAAATATATAATATTTATATAAATATATAATATTTATATAAATATTTATATAAATATTATATATTTATATAAATATTATATATTTATATAATAATAAATATATAATATATATAATATATAATATATAATATATAATAATAAATAATTATATAATATTTATATAAATAAATATAAATATATTAATAGTCTTGAATGGGACTACAAATATTTAACTTAAGGAAAAAATACACACACACATATATATATTTCATATTTACCTACCCACAAAGGGGAATGATAGCTATGATGAATTTCTGACAATGGCAACAGAAAAAAATCCAATTGTGTTTAAATGCAGAAATCTTTCACATACTAATGCATTTGAGAAGAAAAGAAATAGTGTATTACCCAGAAAAAGCTATTGTAATGACTCTTAGAATCACATTTCACTTTGCAGTTATAGCCATTCACTACTACCCTGGCCAGTGTGGGAATCAGAGCAACTGAAAATAAGATACAATACCAGTCAGTCCCCAGTACCTACTCTGTATTTGCTGTATGCACAGCATACAAAGTATTTTATTGCTGGAATCTGACAGGTTTAAGCAAATTAGGAGAATAGGAATACACCTTCATATTCAAAACCAATATTTGATTACTTTATTAGTCACTGGCTCAAGGGAATTTTGTGAATCACATGATCATAGTGACACTTTTTAGGCTCAGAAGAATGAAATGTTATTGATATATGACTCCCAAAATCAAAATGAGTTCTGTTTGATTGTGTGTATGTATAAGGATAAAAAGATATCTGTTAATAGTTTAAACACATTCCGACTCATGCGATATTATCATTACACTGAAAAAAATTTTGTTAATCTATTTCAAGGTAGTGGTCAGCACTTCCTGTACGTCAACTCATCTGGCTCCAAGGAAGGATCCGTTGCCAGAATTACTACTTCCAAATCCTTCCCAGCAAGCCTTGGAATGTGTACTGTTCGGTTCTGGTTCTACATGATTGATCCCAGGAGTATGGGAATATTAAAGGTACAAAAGGAAGCCAGAGATTTATGATCACTGAAATATGCATGACATGTTTAAACATTGTCTTCCCTTGTCTTATTTGTATTTTTGTTGGTCACACCGCCAGTGCTGATGCCATTAATTTCTCATTTCTTTCTGGGGCAGTGGGACTTTGGCAAGCTGTGCTGTCATTCATCTTAATCTCATTCAAGATTTATCTCACTGACGGCTGCCACCTGAACTCAATTATGTTGTATGGTATTTAAAAGATTATCTGGAGATAAAAGAGTTTGGGCAGATTCGACATGTATCTTCTATTAGCAGCTTAGCTAGGGACAGTAAAGAAATGTGATGTGATGCATAATGGTGAGGAAGATAATTTTCTACCCAAAATTCAGTTAAGGAAAAGCAAATTTGAGACTTTAAGTATATATCAGCTCACAGTAAAATCAACATGCGCGCTCTATTTTTAACTAGTTTAAAGCAATAATCTGTACCAAATGCAGATACCTTTAATGAAATAAGTTGCTGCACTTATACTTTTCATTGTATCAATGAGTTTTTCAATCATCATGAACCAATTTTAAGATCTTGGTTTCTAATTAAATGGTTACATATCAGCACACCACACCTAGTGTTATTAACTTACAATTATCCAATCCTGTTTTTTGAATAAATACAATTGGGATTTTTGTCTTTATATCAAATATGGTCCTCTGTAAATAATAGCAGCTCTTATTAAGTTCTGCCTTATATTTACATGTATTATAAACACTCTATGGTATCAATTTTAATTCTCACCTTCACCTGATGAGGTAAGTATATTTTTTCCCAATTTTGCAACAAAGAAACAGACTCAAAGAGGCTTAGTAACTTTTTCAACATTTCACAGTCAAAATTATGATTTCAAAAATCTGATATCTTTTTTTTGGTGGGGGGCAGGGAGAGACAGAGTCTTGCTCTGTCGCCCCGACTGAAGTGCAGTGGTGCGATCTCAGTTCACTGGAACCTCCGCCTCCCAGGTTCAAGTGATTCTCCTGCCTCAGCATCCTGAGTAGCTGGGATCACAGGCATGCATCACCACGTCCAGCTAATTTTTTGTACTTTTAGTAGAGATGGGGTTTCATCATGTTGGCCAGGCTGGTCTCAAATTCCTGACCTCATGATCCACCCACCTCAGCCTCCCAGGGTGCTGGGATTACAGGCCTGAGCCACCATGCCCCCCTTCTCAAAAATATGATATCTATTACACAGTTTTGTTTCTCAGATTCTCTGTGGTCAACCAAAGAAGTCAGAAGAGAAACATGGGAAAATGAGAGAACGAAAAAAGGCCTTATCAATTCTAGACAGCGACAGAAATTGAAACTCTTAAGTAAAAATCTAAACATGCAAAGAAAGTTGAGAATTTATCCTGACTCTGTGTCTGTTTTTTCAAAGGAAGCCAGTAAAACAACAGAGAAAGAGGTTCATTTTTAACAGTTTGAGAGCACACGAATAAATGCAAAAGCATGTAAAAATTTTAAATTATTTTTCATAGTTTTTACATCTAATCGATGAATATTCAATAGATTAGCCTATTGCTTATGCTAAATTTTATCCAGTGTAATTTATAACCACTGAGCTTCAAGAAACTCCACAACACCTTATTTCTACTGACATTATTAAACACAGATTCCTGCAATTGAAGAGGACACTAGTCTACAGTTCCTCATCAAAGCAAGCATCAGTGGAAAGGCCACCAGACCTTTCCATATAATGTAGGCAGATTTCGGTCACTTTCTAAGAAATTGTTGCTTCCTCAATTCAAAAAGACCACCCCTGTGTTCTTTAGCTACTCACCAGCTGGGCCTTCAGTTCCTTAGTTACCCAGTTAAGTGGCCCTCTGTGTTTAGCCATGTTTCTGTAAATAGCCTTTGAAATAGAAATAGTGACCTCACGTCTTGATTTCTGATACCTGACTTTGGTGCTTACTGGTTTTTCTAACCAGAAGGCAGCAGTTAAGTATAACGATGCTTTTCTACTCTGGGAAGTTTTCAGAGAGGTCTACTAGAAAGAATGGTGGCAGGAAATTGATAATCAGCATGATATTGATTTTTCTGTAGCAACAGTCTTGGTGGGTGTATTAGATCATTCTTGTGTTGCTGTAAAGAAATACCTGAGACTGGTAATTTATAAAGGAAATGGGTTTAATTGGCTCATAGTTCTACAGGCTGTACAGGAAGCATGGCACTGGGCATCTGCTCAGCTTCTGATGAGGGTTCAAGAAGCATTCAAGTATGGCGGAATGCAAAGTGGGAGCTGTCACAGGGTGAAAGCAGAGGCAAAAGAGGGAGGTGCTAACACTTTTAAATGACCAGATATCATGAGAACTCACTCATTATCATGAAGACAGCATCCAGCCATGACAGATCTGCCCCCATGACCCAACAGCTCCCACCAGTCCCAACCTCCAGCATTGGGGATTACAATTCAACATGAGATTTGGACGGGGTCAAATATCCAAACTGTATCAGCGGAGTTGACTGCCACAGTGACTTGCTTTTACCACGTCCGTGGGTGACCTCAGTAGGGCCAATCATAGGGTCCTCTAAGCATTTAATGCAGAGGAAGAGAGGTATTTCTTTTTCTTTTGGATTACAAGTTGTAGGAACATAGACTAGGCTTGGGGCTGTTGGTAGCCATCTTTCCCCACAAAGGGAGAGAGATTGTTTGACAAAGAAGCTAACACATGGGGACACAGAGCTAAAGAAAGGGGAAGAAACAGAAAGGTACCTGCTCTGTTTAAACCCTCAATCCCAGTTTTTCTGCACCAGTAGAATTCTCCTTTTGTTACTTGCTACTGAAAAAGCCCTCGCCATTACAGAAACTCAGCAAAAACTATTTTCATAATGTGGCCTTACATCACTGATGGATCATAGCAGCTGGGGCAAATCTTATTTTCTCAACTATTGCTGTGGAAAATCTTGAGTTATTCACAGATGAAAACCTTCCTAAGCATGCAGTAATTTTACATGTGGAGGAACCAGTGAAGTGGAAACCCATTCTCCGTGTTCTTCGGATTGAGGCTTTCCATTAGCATGCTTTTCTTTCACCTGCAAGTTTGTGCTTTTTTACAATCTCTAATTTCGGTATTACAGTACTGCAGGACCACTCCTTATAAAGGAGATGTGGACCCATGTTTGTGGCTCTATTTTTTACAAATAATTGATGCCAAAAGTCCAATTAATATAATCTGAACTTGTGGTGGGAAAAAAACTTCTTTTTCTAAGTAAAAAACAAGTCCTTTTTCCCCCTTCTCTAATAATGTTGACACCATAAAACAAATCTTAAAAGAATAAAATAAATGATCATATCTGCTGTTGGTGTGGATGTAAAGAAACAGATATTCATTGCTAGCTGGACTATCAGTTTGCAATTATGAAGAATATTTTGACAATTAAAAAATTTATAATTTTTATATTACTTACTAAAATATTTTATATCTAGAAATTTATTGTAATGAAATAAAGATAGATATATATATGCTATTTTATTTATAAAGTTTTTGTTGTTGTTGTTGTTGTTGTTTTTGTTTTTTGAGATGAAGTCTCGCTCTGTTGCCAGACTGGAGTGCAGTGGCGCGATCTTGGCTCGCTGCAACCTCCGCCTCCCTGGTTCAAGCGATTCTCCTGCCTCAGCTTCCGGAGTAGCTGGGATTACAGGCAGGTGCCACCACACCCAGCTAACTTTCGTATTTTTAGTAGAGATGGCGTTTCACCATGTTGGCCAGGCTGGTCTTAATCTCCTGACCTAGTGATTCGCCCACCTAGGCCTCCCAAAGTGCTGGGATTACAGGCGTGAGCCACTGCGCCCGACCAAAGTTTTTTTTTATCTCAATGTTTACCCTAGTAAATATTGGAAACCACGTGAGCATCAAATAGTAGGAATTACTCAAATATAGTACATTCGGTCATACGGAAACACTGTAGAACAATTAATTCTGTGAATGAATAATTAGTGATAAAAAGAAATGTTTATGATTCTTTAATGACCTAAGCAGATTGTTAAGGAATATGTGTACTAGTATGCAATTTTTTAAAAAAATCAGATTTTGTGTGAAAATGTGTATATGGCTATAGATATTTCCCTCATAAATATATGTATATATGTGTATATGCATATACATATACACATATATATACACATATATACATGTGTATATGTATATACATATACATATATATACACATATGTACATATATGTATATACGTATATATATATATGACAGGGAAAAGAAAGAAATGGAGAAATATACACTACAATGGTTAAAATAATTATTTGTACTTTTTGAGATGAAAAAGTTTATTTTAATATTTTGCAGTCTTACGTATTTTATAATTTTTCTACATGAAACTTGTATTAGCTTTCTAATAAAAATTACGTATTTCTAAAGGGTCCTCATATTTGGAAGGGTTGAGAGACACTGCCCCAGAATGTGCCATAAACACATGACCTCTTGAGTTAATAATAGCAAATGTGGCTCCAGAGTACATGGTAGATTACAATTGTCTGAAAGTATTTCTTAAGTTGATTATAGAAACCCTTCAGAGGGGATGTGGCAAAGAAAATACCTAAGATGAATTTTCAGAGGCAAGGGTTTATGAGGCAATAAAAATAGGAATGCATTCTCAAAAGAGATTCCAAATTGTAGACTGTGGGAGTATGTCTCCTTGTCAGCGTAAATTTTCTGAAATCTCACTAAAGGTTATGCATTCCCTGCCCTTCCAGGATCTGCTCTGTATTCCAGAGAACTACACTTCCCTAGCTGCTTTACTTTCTACCTTCCTAGGTAGGTTTGGTCAATGGAAGGTACCCACAAAAGACGTGAGGACAGGAAGAGAAGACAAGCCTTCCTCCTCTATCTTCCTATTTTGGATTGAGTCTCTAACTGTACCTTATCTGTGACTCAGCTTCCCGCAATTAGGCCATGCTTCCTTAGTTCCAGCTCCCATAGAACATGCCAGAAAAATTTTTTTTCTTTTCTTTTTTTTTTTTAATTATACTTTAAGTTTTAGGGTACATGTGCACAACGTGCAGGTTTGTTTCATTCTTCCAGCAGCTTGACTTTGGTGACATTCTTCCTTCGTCCCTCTCGTTTTAGGGATGGAAACATTCTACATATGGTAGGTTGCGTCATAATTTCCTTGCTGATTTCTCATCTCTTTCGTAGCCCTTGTAATCAGTCCCCTATCTCTCTATATTAAACTTCCTTTATTTGAAATATGTTAGTTTAGCTACTCTAAACTTGAATTTGTCTGATATAAGTGTGCACTGTAAAGAAAACAGAAATCTTTTGGTGCTATGACCTTACAAAATAATAAAAAAAAAATTGAGTGACAGTCAGCTTCAATTTGTCCTGAACATTAATTACATTAATTACATTACATTAACTTATTTCTGAATAAGGTTCTAGTAGTGATAACAGAAAACAGGTAAACAAACAAAACAGATAACTATGAGACCTTCCATTTGTCATACAGCACTGGAGCAAATAAGAAAGTTTCCTGTGATAATTACTCATCACCTGCTGAGAGAGGCATTTGATATTAATGGTAAGAAAGCCCCTCTCAGAAAGATGGTATTTGGATTTAGAGTTGAAGAGCAAGAAGGAGCCAGCCTTGCGACTATCTGGAGAAAAACTGCTCTAAGCAGAGGTTGCAAGTTAATGAAAAACCTCCCATGTAGAAATTTCGAGGGCTGGCATAGCTGGAACAACATAGACAAGAGGATAAATAAGATTGAAGATGGAGGAAGAGATCAGGTCATTTATGACCTTGTACATGATAAGGAGACTCAGTTTTATTCTAAAAACCATGGGAAGCTATCGGAGAGTATTAACATGAAGAGTAATTAAAAATATGTAAAAGGGCTGTTTGGCTGCTATATGGAAAAGGGCTGGAATCTGGTGGGTAGGAGGAGGCCAAAGTGAAAATGAAACTTGATATCTTAGTTCTTTCAGGTTGCTATTACCAAATACCATTGACTGCATGACTTATAAACAACATAAATTTATTTCTTATAGTTCTGGAGGCTGCGAAGTCCAAGATCAAGGGGCTGGCAAGTTTGGTGTCTTACCAGACCTTTTTTGTGACTTCACATGATGGAAAAGGCAGGAGAGCGCTCTTCTCTCTCTCCTTTTTCTTCTCCCTCCTCTTTCTCCAGATATTCACAAGGCTGGCTTCTTGTATTCAAACATCATCTTTCTCAGAGGGCCTTCCTTATCATTTGATATAAAATACCTCTCTCAGCAGAAGATGAGTAATTACTTATCATGGGAAACTTATTTTATTTTTCCAAAGAACTATATCACAGATGGAAAGTTTCATAGCTACCTGTGTTGTTTGTTTTCTGTCATTTCTCTTACTTGACTTCAGTCTCTTTATAAGGGCACTAATCCCATTCATGAGGTCTCCCCCTTCATGATCTTGTCCCTCCTGTAGGCCCTACCTTCTAATACCATCACCTTCGGGGTTAGGATTTCAACATGTGAATCTTGGGGAGTAATATTCAGTCCATTGCACAGGGAGAAAAGTGAAGATGATTTCAGAAGTCCAGGGCAACAAAGATGTGGCTTGATTTAAAATGGAATATAAAGATAAACTGAAAACCAATGTCTGTAAATAATGCACAGGACTTAGATCTTCACTGACATTTAAGATAATTTTCTAAATAAAGCATATCTAAATTTTATTAGCATATTAATGAAGTGTATCATATAAAGTGAAAGCAGTCAACAACTAGTATAGTCGTGAGATCAAAGTGAAATTCAATTATGATTTTCCTATTATGTTTTAGGATAAAAAGCCAAACTATGCTGATTTATCTCAGCCTTCAAAGTAGAGGGCTGCATAAAGAAAATATTTTATAGAAATTAGGAAGACTTCAATATCTTTTCATCATAAATGACTGATAATCAGAATAATAAAATGTTCACATGGGCATCAATATCCTTCAATTAAAGGCTGAAGGAATTAGAGAACAATGCTAATTTGTACTTACTTAATAAATGCTTTATTTTCTAGTAATGCCAAACCAGAAGAACTTACAAAGATCAGTTTCTTTCTGTCTTTCAGTTACCTACTTACATGTCAAATTAATGCACTCTTTAAAATGATGGTGGTCACTTTTTGATCCATACTGCCAAAAGAGCCCTAAATGAAACCAAATTAATTTCCCATTATATTATTTAATTACAGCTATTCAGCTTCCTAGCTTCTGTCTTGTTTTGATGTTTAATGCTATCTCAATTGATTTGGTCTACAAATAGCAGTTAACTTGGCACTGAACAAGATGATTTCTCTAAAAATAACTAACATATTTTATTACTCCAAACTTAAAGAAATAAAAGGAAAATGAATAGGTAACTCACAATTTATACTTTTCGTAATATTTTTGTAATTTATATAAATTTCTAATTGCTCATGAAAAAAAAAAGCTACTTTCTAAAACTTCCGTGATCACAGATAAGTTTATATATATATGGGATTCCGGAAACCGATAGTTCGTATTTCAGAACAAGTAGCCTATGGTGTTGAAATGGTCTCTATCTTAGATTTGAGGCATTCTTAGGCCTAAATGAGTTTCAGTAAAACCCATAGGATAAGACATTTAGCATGTATATGCTCCAGTTCAGAAAACCATTATTGTTATGAGCTGGTGCTATTGAGTTTTGTTTTGTTTTGTTTCAATGTAATATTTAGGAAGATAGTAAAAGCAGAGAAAAAAATGGAGAATAATATCAGAGTCAGACTTAATAAGATCAGATGGTTACGATATGCCATACACCATTCAGAGTCCTTTATCATAAATTAATTAGTCTGATTCTCACACCCTCCAAATGAGGCAAGTACTGACGTTATCTACATTTTAACAGGTAAGGCAAATGAGATAGACAAAGCTTCAGGAATTTGTCCAAGGTCATAGAGCTGGGCAGGTTTTTCCACATGGCCTATCTCTACTCTATCCTTATAACTACTATGCTTTTCTGCCTTTCAGAACTAGAGGGCTATTTATGACGTATTGAGGGTTTGCATTTTCATTACTCAATATTGTCTTATATTTTCTACCAGTAGTTGATAAAATCTAATTCTTTAAAAGGTATTTTGCATATTTTGTGTTCTGCATATTATATTTTTCAGTATACATTTGGTTTGAATTTTAAATTTTACAAAATGGCATCATGGTTACTTAAATAGTTAGATGTGTCCCCAAATGCTTAGTGTGTGTGAGCCGATATGGGGGATGCTATAAGTATTTGTCTTACCAATAGTTGCCTGTGAGACATGCCACGCAATCCTTTTGTTCTGCTGCTTTGTTTTTTTATTTTTTTGTATTTTTGAGACAGGGTCTCACTCTGTCACCCAGGCTGGAGTGCAGTGGTGCAGTCTCCACTCACTGCAGTCTCAACCTCCTGTGCTCAAGTTATCCTCCCACGTCAGCCTCCCTAATAGCTGGGACTACCAGCATGCGCCACCACACCCAGCTTTGTGCGTGTGTGTGTGTGTGTGTGTGTGTGTGTGTGTGTGTGTGTGCGCGCGCGCGTGCGCGCACACACGCGCAGTGATGGGGTTTTGCCATGTTGCCCAGGCTGGTCTTGAACTCCTGAGCTCAAGTGATCTGCCCACCTCGGCCTCCCATGCCACATGCCCAGTGTGTTCTGCTGCTTAAGATGATTAACTTTTGAATGAGCTGCTCAAGGACGAGGGCCACCAAGACTGTATCTTCTTTGTCAAACTCACTGAGGGCCCTTCTGGTCGATTTTGTAATCACCTAGAATCTGTCATTAGATCTACAGTTGTCCTGTTAGAATAGGCAGATGTTTCCGGAACCCCTTCTTTAGGCTAGTGCAAGAGGATATTCTATTCCCTGTGATGATAGCAGACATATAATCGTCAGAATAGGAAGTTTGGCAGGGAAGAAAAAGAGTCTTACCCCAACTCAGCCTCTCTTAAATGCAGAATGACTGTGGGCCCTCTGGGATGTGGTTGCAAAGACACGTGGCACCCACAGTGGGAGGTATTTTGAGGTAGTAAGGCTTTTGATACATCACTCAACAATGATTCTCACAACCCATAATAAGATAACACAGCAATATGAATAAGGAACCAATGAAATATGGTGCATAAAGAGTTTCTAATAATAGAGGAAATGCGTTGATACTTATATTCACTTAATCAGGTACTAGGTTATCATTTATTGCCGTGAAGTAATCATTTAGAAAATGATAACCCTTGTTAATGAGCTGCTAAAAAGGCTCTGGTTATTCTCATGAGATGTTACTATATAGACGAGGACCCAGCCCATCTCATAGTTATCACTTGTGTTGCAGAAATTTCTCCAGGCATATGTTGAGTGAAAAGAGAAGTGGAAAAAAAACCTTGACGTTTCAATAGCAAAAAATATGCAAAGTTGAATATTCACTTAAATTTACAAAAATATATATATTTTCAGAAATTAAAAATGGAAGTCCAAGCACAGTGGCTCACGGCTGTAATCCCAGCACTTTGGGAGGCCAAAGCAGGAGGATTGCTTGATGCCAGGAATTTGAGACCAGCCTGGGCAACATGGCAAGACCTTGTGTCTTTAAAAATAAAAATATATTCAGGGTAAAAAAATGAAACTAATTAAGTGGGTACTAGTTTGTATAACATATGCTTAAGGCAATAGAAACATCAGGCCTTTTTATTGTATTTCTTTTATTATTGACATTGTAAAAATGCAATCTTATTATGAAAGTTATTGAGTGGCACTATCAGTATTCTGTCTCTAAATTTATTCATTTTCAAAGTATATTTTAACTAATTTTCTAGACTAACCGGTTCTCTTTCATTTCTGTTTATGCTGAACTTCATGGCCATTGTTTTTACAAGTGGTGTTAAACTGCTTATCAATGGTAGCTTTGGAGAAAAATATTAGATAGTATTTAAGAGACATATGCAATTATCCCCATGCATAAAACGTAGGGAGATGTGTGTAGAAGTTTTTAAGCATATTTAACAAATTTATAAAACCTAGATTATACCTTAAATCTGAGCATGTCTTACTATTTTCAGCAGAAACATGAAAAGTAATATTCTAGGGCAATAGCTCTTAATGTGTCACTCATCCTGGCACATTGAAATCATTTGTACAATATGACACGAGTAATGTGTTATAGCAGTAGTTAAAATGAAGCAAAGTATTTTTTTTCTCTTTGTAAGAATAGATTCAAGTTTCTCCTTCTATGGTATCAATGTCTTATATTTTAATCTAATATGTTTTACTGAATAACAGAAAAAGGCAAGGTTTGGTCTGGTGTGCCAGAGACACTTAGGATCCTGCGACAAGGTACACTTAGGAGTGTGTCAAGCATACAAACATAATCTATCACATAATAAGAATCACTGGCTCATATTAACACTTTAGCAAAGATGGGTGAATAGGTCTTGATAGCAATGAGACACTTTGAGAGCTGCGCCAGAGTAAACCTTGCTAAAATGTGCTATGTATCTTCCATTGTGAATAATAGAAAATATAAACCATAGGATGGCAAAAAACACTGGTATTAAGTTTGCTATTAAAATATAAATTAGGCAGGATGGGAAGGTCCTTTGCACAAAATGAAAAGGTCGACACTCAAGAGAAAGAGCTAATCTAATATGACCTTCAAAATAGACTTTCTTTTCACAATATAATAAAAGTAGAAAAATAAAAGTAAACTCAACTTGAAGAGTTATGCAACTAAAAATTAAAATCAAGTCACAGTTTTAAGACAGAGGCATGGGAATTTGCAAAAGAAGGTCTTTCTTACACCTGACTACAAACAGACTAGGTGCAAAGTCACCTTGAGAAAGAACCTAAATCAGCTTCACTTGGAAGTCTCGGTCTGAAGCTGAATATTATTTCTTTATAAAAACCATTTAATATACTTGAAGCTCAAGTAACTTTTCTTTTACATTTTTATTTCATGAAAGCCACCCATCTTTATTTTCCTTACAGAGTCTGGGTTTAATGCCTCATTTAGAAAGCCATTTTCTGTCATAAAATAACAAAATATTTTCATTTGTTTTAATAATTATATAATTTATAGTTTTAATAATTATATAATCCTGATTTCTAGTTTTAACTACTTAATCTAGTTATAATTCATTTTTGTTTATGAGTCGTGAGAGGTTAGAATCTCCTGATGTTTTTTTTCCAAATTGCAGTATAGTAGTTCCAATATCATTGATATAATTCTTTGTCCTCTCCTGTGGATTGGACATGCCTCCACTATCACATGTTAAATTTATATATATAGATGTAAATTTTCTTGAAATGTGTGAAAGAATGATAGCTTCTCAGTTGGATACAAAGATAGGTAGATAAATAGATGTTAGAAATACAGAGAGAAACCATAATCTTCTCTATCCTTATTGTTTTTGGCTTAATTTGTCCATGTAGGAAAAAGGTATTTTAAAAGCCTCCAGTACAATTATAAAAGTGTCTATTTGTCTTTTTGTTTTACCTGTCTTAGATTTTTATGTGTTGAAGTTATGTTGTTGAATGCCTAAAGATTCAAGACAGTTATGTCTGTTTGGGGAATTACAACTTTTATCAACAGTAAATAGCCCTCTTTGTAGTTTCCATGGAAATCCTGTATTATTTGTTAATAATATGGATGTTCTACTGTCTTCATTTTTTGTTGGATTCATATAAGAAAATAAAGGAACTTTTATCTGAGCCCTGCAAGAGTACTATTAATTATTACATCCAGGGAGACATTAAACTGAGACAGCAATCACACCCTACTCCCCTGGATTTTTCACAGCTCACTGCAGCCTTGCCTTCCCAGGCTCAAGCAATTCTCTGGCCTCAGCCTCTCAAGTAGCTGGGACTACAGATGTAAAAATCATGCCCAGCTGATTTTTCGTTTTTGTTTTATTTATCTTTTTTTGAGACAGGGCCTTGTACTGTCAGTCAGGCTGGAGTATAGTGGTGCAATCACAGCTCACTGCAGCCTTGGCTTCCCAGGCTCAAGCAATTCTCTGGCCTCAGCCTCTCAAGTAGCTGGGACTACAGATGTAAAAATCATGCCCAGCTGATTTCTTTTTTTTTTTTTTTTTTGAGAGAGAAATGGGGTCTCACTGTGTTTCCTAGGCTGGTCTCCAACTGCTGGACTCATGCTGTCCTCCTGCCTCAGAATCCCAAAGTGCTGAGATTACAGGTCTGAGCCACCATACTAGGCTTACTCCGCTTTTTGAGTTATGTAGTTATCTCTTCAAACTGCTTGTGATTGTCCCAACCATCTATAAATTAACCTAATAATGCCACACCAGACACTGTAACCCAAACTCTGTAGCTTAACAATGCATAGCCAATCACTAATCCACGTTATTTCTGCAAACCAATGGAGAATTCTTGGCAAACAACTTTGTATCAACTTACTCCCTATCCCTGTTTTTGCCTTTACAAATCAACTTGTAAATGCTGCTAAATGAAGTGTATATTCAGGGCAACTGGAGTCTATGCTCCTGGGTTTCCATCCTCAAGCCTGGCCCAAATAAACTCTCTACTTAACGTTAATTTCTCCTCACCTTCTTCTTGTTAAATCAATATATATCTTATCTTTATTTTTATTATTCCATGCTACTTGGCTTTAGTTATGCCTATTATAAACACTATATGGCTGAATTGTGTTTTTTTTCACACAATCTGAGCTTCTAGTTTTTTAAATAAATCCAGTCTTTTTATATGTGTTGTGGTTACAGTTTCATTGTCATATAGATCTTTTGGTTGTGTGTTTTCTACTGGTATTTTTTATTTTTCCCCTCTACTTGAGTCTTTTTTGCTTTGTTTTGGGTGTTTTTGGTTTTTTTTTTTAGATGCAGTCTCGCTCTTGTCACCCAGGCCGAAATGCGATGGTGTGATCTTGGCACTGCAACTTCTGCCTCCTGGGCTCAGGCGATTCTCCTGCCTCAGCCTCCCAATTAGCTGGGAATACAGGTGCCTGCCACCATACCTGACTAATTTTTGTATTTTTAGTAGAGAATGGATTTCACCGTGTTGGCCAGGCTGGTCTCGAACTCCTGACCTCAAGTGATTCGCCCACCTAGGCCTCCCAAAGTGTTGGGATTGCAGACGTGAGTCACCACACCAGGCCTACTTGAGTCTTTAGATGGGTTGGCTAGATTTCTGTTGTTCTTGCTTATTCCCAGTGTTTATAAGTTTTAATTGCTGTGCCTTTTTTTTTTTCTAAAGTGGACGAATTTTTATTGTCTATTAAAGTATTTATTATGAATGAAAATTAATAATCTACCCACCACCCACTAAAAGTAGATCTTTGGTCAGATTTGATTGGCCTGAATCATCCTCTCTAACAGCTCTATGACTTATTAAAATTGTCTGGAACTAAAGTGCAAATCATTTCTCTACCTTCTTGGCAATCATATTCATAAAAATGACCATGACCTCTCTTCAGTTTTTCAATTCACAGTATGTTATCATCAAGTAAAACTATGCATTTTACTTGATGATAATATCAAGCAGTGGGCAAGTTATCTTTGCTCACCACTCTTTATTAATGCCTATGCAGTCTACTATATTGGATTCTTTTTGTTTGATATGCATATTAGCTTGCTAGAGTTGCCATAACAAGATACCATGACTGGGTGGCTTCAACAATAGAAATGTATTTCCTTATAATCATGGAGGCTGGAGGTCCAAGATCAAGGTGTCAGCAGGTGTGGGTTCTTCTGAGGCTTCTTCCTTGACTGGTCACTGGTCACCTTTCCACTGTCCTCACAAGGTCTTCCCTCTATGCAGGCATATCTATCCCTCATGTTTCTTCTTATGTCTAAATTTTTTCATTTTATAAGGGCATCATTCACATTGGATTAGAGCCTACCCTAACAGCCTCATTATAACTTAATGAGGCCCTGTTTCAAAATACAGTCACATTCTGAGGTTCTGTGGTTTAGGGCTGCAACATATGAACTTTAGGGGAATACATTCATCCTGTAACAGTATGTTTTGCTCATATGCATTTCAGATAAGTGCAAAATGCTAACCTTTTGAGTTCTTGATTGAAAAAAGCAATCGTGTCTATATTGGAAAGATTGGTTGGGTATAGATTTCTAGGTTGAAAATTATTTTTCCTTACGTAATTGAAGATGTGGCTGCATTGCATGCTAATATCCAGTACCTGCCTACCTTTTAGAAGACTGATGTCTGTCTGATTATTTCTCCTTCAGGACTTTTACACTACCTACTTTTCCCCGTATGTGAATAAAATGTTCTTTTTATTCCCTGGAATCCATAAATTTTCCTGGAAATTTAATGAGCCCTCATCATTCGTCACCTTAGGGAGATTTTCAGCTGTAATTTGCTTGGTTATCTCCTTCAAGGAAAATTATTAGACAGATCTGCAAACTTCTGGACCTTTCCCCACCAACCCCTCACGTAAATTCACGACGTTTTCAGCTTTTAGTCCTCTGGCACTGTGGTCTTAGAGGATCACTTCTTTCAGTTTTCCTATTCACCTTTTGGTCTTTAATCTGGGTCAGTTTTGCTATTCAGTCTATCTGTGAGGCTTTTATTTTTACAATCATACTGTTAATTTCCAAGAACTGTGAATGCTTCCCCCTTTCATATTTGCCTGTTAGGTATGACTGACACCCAAATCTCTCAAGAGAGTTAATTATATTTCTTTCTTTATTTTCCCATTGGTTCTGTTAACTGTCTTTCCCATGGTGTTCAGTATTCTGTTTAATGTAGTGTCTCTGTTTTACAGTTTTTCACAACTGTCTGGTTACTTAGTGTTCTATTTCTATAGATGGATGAGTCTAGGTTGAATAATATTACTATGTGTGCTTTATCTTCTCAGACCAAGTAAGAAATTCCCTTCCCCTAACAGTGAATATGCATTCTGATTCAGCATCTCTGGTTTCATATTTCTTTGATGTAAAGCACTAGCTGTTTTCTAGTGTGTTTATGTTTACGATGTATTGTTAGCTTGTTTATGTGTTGAAGGAGGTACACGTATTTTTATGGCAGTCGTAAGGGACATTGCATCATTTCTCTGGTCTCAGTACAAACTCTTGGAAACTCCTGTGTCAGAGCTCCATTTCAGCAATATTTACTCATCTTGTCTGTTCTGGGTACAAATGCTGGAATCAGCAACTCCTAACCCAAGGAATCAACCTGGCTCTTCTGGAGTCCTTGGATTAATTACCAGATGGTGACATATGCACAGCTTCTTCTCTTTGGTCTTTGTCCCTTTGAGTTATTCCAGAATTTGGCTAGAACAGTTCACATTTTTGTCATTGGTACTGATCTTTTCTTTTACCTGTAGGTGTTTGCAAATGCCTCAGTTCTGTTTATGTATTTTCATCAAAAAGTTTCCATTTGATTTAAAACCTCCAAAAAGTCCTAACTATTTCTGTAAGCTAGTACCTGTGATCCTGATTTTCCATTGCTTCTGTTGATTTATGTCAGTGTTTTTCCTGTCTTTCCAGTGGAACATTTTTGGAGAGTATAGGTAAGTGTGTGTTTTCAGTTAGCCATCAGAACCAGAAATGAGTTTTCTAAATATTTACAACTTTTGAAGAACCTACTAAAAGAACAGTAATTCAGCTTAGAAATTCATTTTTTTTCCTGTTTGCTGTCTTGCAGTATAAATTTTCTTTCAATTTGAGGGAAGGTGTTTTGAAGGCATTCTGAAGGTGGTCTGTGCAGTGATACTGTTCATTGAGAGAAAAGCCTCTAAGTGTCGGGCTAACTAACATTAAATGCTACATGGGTCATTTTGCTATGAAGAGACATTTTCTTGGTGCTTTATTTCTGATTACTCCTATTTCTAATTACTTGGTCTCTTTCAAATAATGTGGGGTCAACGTTGAAGAGCTAAATACAAATCAGCCATTTCAATTTCCACATGCATAGTAGCTATACGTTTTTTCAGTTCTTCCTCCTGTGAGACATTCAGTGATGTTTATTACAAACCAAGTGAGGTGGAAGAACGACTGCCCGACTGGAACACAGGAAACCTATGTCCAACACCCAGTCACTAGGGATTAGAAACTCCGAAATTTCTAAAGCTCTCTGCTTCTGATCCTTCTTATTTGCAAGGACCTTAGCAATGCTTTAAAAAAAAATCTGAAAAACCTAAAACCACATCTGAAATTATTATTTTTTTAATCCCACAAAAGAATGCCAGCTTCTCATAATGAAATTCCCCAGTTACCACTCTCATTAACATGACATGACTTATCCTTCTATATTAGCTCCTTTTTTCCACCATAAGATATATATGATGTGTAATAGCAATAGTAATAAAATGTGCTCGGTGTTGGTAATGAATTGACATACTTCACTTAAATTTAAACCTAATAACAGATCTATCAGGGAGCTACAGCACACTTCATTTTATTGTACTCCATTTTACTGAACTTCACAGATACATATATATATATATATATATATATATATATATATTTTTTTTTTTTTTTTTTTTTTTTTTTTTTTACAAATTGAAGGTTTGTAACAACATTGCATTCAGCAAGTGTATGTATGGCTGCTATTTTCCCAACAACTTGTGCTCGCTTTGTGTTTCTGTGTCACATTTTGATAATTCTCCCAGCATTTCAAGCTTTTCTCTTATCACTATACTTTTTTTTTTTTTTTTTTTTTTTTGAGACAAAGTTTCCCTCTTGTTGGCCGGGCTGGAGTGCAATGGCACAATCTCAGATCACTGCAACCTCCACCTCCCAGTTCAGGCAATTCTCCTGCCTCAGCCTGCCAAGTAGCTGGGATTACAAGCATGCACCACCACCCCTGGCTAATTTTGTATTTTTACTAAAGATGGGGTTTCACCATGTTGGTCAGACTGATCTCGAACTCCTGACCTCAGGTGATTTGCCCCCCTCTGCCGCCCAAAGTTCTGGGATTACAGGCGTGAACCACCACGCCTGGCCTACTTGAGTCATTCGATGGGTTGATTAGATTTTCTTTTTTCTTTCTTATTCCCAGTGTTTATAAGTTTTAATTGCTGTGCCTTTTTTTCTAAAGTGGACATAATATTTTTGCCTATTAAATTAGTTATCTATTTTGAATGAAAATTAATTGCACGCTTCTAACTTACCCATCACCCAAGTAAAAGTAGATCTTTGGCAAGATGTGACTGGCCTGAATCATCCTCCCTAACAACTCTATGACTTATTAAAATTGTCACCGTGCCCGGCCTCATTATATTTCTTATGGTGATCTGTGATCAGTGATCTTTGATGCTACTATTGTATTTTTTTCTGGGGTGTTATGAACTGTAATATAAAATGGTGAATATAATTGATAAATACTGTGTGTGTTCTGACTGCTAGATTGACCTGTGGATCCCTTGTGTCACTCCCTCTCTTCGGGCCTCCCTATTTCCTGAGACAAGACCACATCCAAATTAGGCCAACCCTTCAAGGCCAATGGTCTTTAAGTGTTCAAGCGAAAGGAAGAACAGCACTTCTCCTACTTTAAATCAAAAGCTAGAAATGATTAAGCTTAGTGAGGAAAGCATGTCGAAAGGTGAGATAGGCTGAAAGCTAGACGTCTTGCTCCAAACAGCTAGTCAAGTTGGGGATGCAAGGGAAAAGTTCGTGAAGGAAGTTAAAAGTGCTACTCCAGTGAACACACACATGATAATGAAGCAAAACAGCCTTAGTGCTAATATGGAGAAGGTTTAAATGGTCTGGATAGAAGACCAAACCAGCTTCGACATTCCCTTAAGCCAAAGCCTAATCCAGAGCAAGACCCAACTCTCTTCAGTTTGGCTGAGAGAGGTGAGGAAGCTGTGGAAGAAAAGTTGGAAGCTAGTAGAGGATGGTTAGTTCATGAGGTTTAAGGAAAGAAGCCACCTGCTTAACATAAAAGTGCAAAGTGAAGCAGAAAGTGCTGACAGAGTGCTTGATAAAGCCGCAGCAGGTTGGAGGAGGATTGACTTCAGTTTTGAAAGAAGTTCTACTGTGGGTAAAACGCTATCAAATAGCATCATTTGCTACAGAGAAATCTTTTGAGCAAGAAAGTCGATCGTGCAGCAAACTTATTGTCTTGTTTTAAGAAATTACCACAACCACTCCACCCTTCAGCAATCACCACCCTAATCAGTGAGCAGCCCAATAAAGTAAGACCCTTCACCAGCAAGATTATGACTTGAAGGCTGAGATGGTCATTAGCATATTTTAGCAATAATATATTTTTAAGTTAAGGTATATACATTGCTTTTTGTAGGCATAATGCTGTTGCACACTTAACCGACTACAGTATAGTGTAAACATGAGTTTTATATGCTCTGGGAAACCGAAAGATTTTTATGACTCATGTTATTGCAATATTTGGTTTATTGCAGTAGTCTGGAACTGAACCTGCAATATCTTTGAGCTCTGCTGATTAATGTCTTTCATTTAATAGCAGTGGAAACTGAAATTTAAAGACATTAAGTAACTTGGCCTAAAACATTCAATTAATCTGGGCAGAGACAGGATTGGAATCTGGTTCCTAATTCCTAACTATTACATTGCTCAGCCTTCTGGCTAATAGGTTAAACATTGGGGGAAAGTTTTATGCTTCTGGAATATAATAGAGAGCAATGCCTCTCTATATCACAAATAATCACCAACCAATTTTGGACACTCCTTTATAGTTTGAAAAAGTATTTCATATATATAAACCCATTTAATTTGCTTTGAGGTGTTAGAAAGAAAACTGGGGGATTCTTGGTCTTCATCTTAAGTAAGAAAGGTGAAAAAAAGACAACAGTGATCTATTTCCTCAGTCCTTAATGACCCAGCTGAATTGTAGATTGTTATTTCATCCTAATTCTGATTGTTCTAAGATTTGTTTTTTATAATTACCCGCTCCCCTACTTGCCTATGATACATTCTTTACAACATGTCCTAGATTATTTATAATTCAGTGACATCCAAACCCAGAAATTGTGGTGAAGTTTTAGTGTAACAAAGTAATTATGTTTTTTAAACTTTTTAATTGTAAGTTCAGGGGTACCTGTGCAGTTTTGTTACATAGATAAACATGTGTCTTGGTTTTTTCTTTATTATTTCATCACCTGTATTAAGCCAAATAACTAGTACCAATTAATTATTTTTCCTGACCCTCTACCTCCTTCCAACCTCCACCCTCCAATAGGCCCCAGTGTGTGTGGGTTCCCCTCTATGTGTCCACATGTTCTCGTCATTTAGCTCCCACTTAAGTGTGAGAACATGCGGTATTTGGTTTTCTGTTCCAGCATTAGTTTCCTGAGGATAATGGCTTCTAGCTCCATCCATGTCCCTGCACGGGATGTGATCTCATTCTTTTTAATGGCTGCATAGTATTCCATGGTGTGTATGTACCACATTTTCCTTATCCCTTATCACTAATAGGGGTTTAGGTTGATTCCATGTCTTTGCTACCATTAATAGTGCTGCAATGAACATACATACCTATGTGTATGTCTTTATAATAGAATGATTTATATTTTGGGCGGTATATACCCCATAATGGGATTGCTGGTTAAAATGCTAGTTCTGTTTCTAGGTTTTTGAGGAATCACCACACTGTCTTCCACAATATAAGTGTTCCTTTTTCTCCACAACCTTGCCAGCATCTGTTATTTTTTGCCTTTTTAATAATAGCCATTCTGACTGGTGTGAGATGATATCTCATTGTGGTTTTGATTTGCATTTCTGTAAAGATCACTGATTGAGCTTCTTTTTCATATGATTGTTGGCTGCATGTAGGTCTTCTTTTGAAAAGTGTCTGTTCATATCCTTTGCACATTTTTAATAAGGTTGTTTTTGTTCCTATAAACTTAAGTTCTTTACAGATGCTGGATATTAGACCTTTATAAGATGCACAGTATGCAAATATTTCCTCCCATCGTCTCTGATATTTTTGTCATCTCCCATATTTTTCAGCACTGTCTTGTAATTTTCATTGTAGAGATCTTTCACCTCCCCTGTTCACTGTATTCCTAGATATTTTATTCATTTGTTGCTATTGTGAATGGGATTTTATTCCAGGCTCAGCTCTTGGCTTGGCTGTTGCTGGTATATAGGAACGCTACTGATTTTTGTATGCTGATTTTGTATCTTTAGACTTTACTGAAGTTGCTTATCAGCTTAAGAAGCTTTTGCACTGAGACAGTGGGGTTTTCTAGATATAGGATCATGTCGCCTGCAAAGAGGGGTAATTTAACTTTCTGTCTTCCTTTTTGGAAGCCCTTTATTTCTTTATCTTTCCCAATTGCCCTGGCCTGGACTTTGAGTACTGTGTTGAATAGGAGTGGTGAGAGAGTGCATCCTTGTCTTGAAAGCGGAATGCTTCTAGCTTTTGCCCATTGAGTATAATATTGGCTGTGGGTTTGTCTTGTATGGCTCTTATTTTGAGGTATATTCCTTCAATATCTAGTTTATTGAGAGTTTTTAACCTGAACAGATGCTGAATTTCAATGAAAGCCTTTTTGCATCTATTGAGATAATCATGTGGTTTTTGTCTTTAGTTTTGTTTATGCGATGAATCACATTTATTGATTTCTGTATGTTGAACGAACCTTGCATCCTAGGGATGAAGGCTACTTGATTGTGGTAAATACACTTTTTGATGTGCTGCTAGATTAGTTTGCCAGTATTTTTTTTGAGGATTTCTGCATTCATGTTCATCAAAGATATTGGCCTGAAATTTTCTTTTTTTCCTTGTATCTCTGCCAGGTTTTGGTATCAGGATGATGCTGGCCTCATAGAATGAGTTAGAGAGGAGTCCCTCCTTTTCAATTTTTTTGTATAGTTTCTCTAGGAATGGTACCAGCTATTCTTTGTACATCTGGTAAAATTCAGCTGTGAATTAATCTGGTCCTAGGATTTTTTGGTTGGTAGGCTATTTATTACTGCTTCAATTTCAGAACTCGTTATTGGCCTGTTCAGGGATTCAATTTCAGGGTGTATATGTCCAGAAATTTATCAGTTTCTTCTAGATTTCCTAGTTCATGTGCATAGAGGTATTTATAATATTCTCTGATGGTTGTTTGTATTTCTGTGGAGTCAGTGGTAATATTACCCTTATCATTTCAGGTTGTGTTTATTTGAATCTTCTCTCTTTTCTTCTTTATTAGTCTAGCTAGCAGTCTACCTACTTTATTAATTTTTTTCAGAGTGCCAGCGCCTGGATTTGTTGATGTTTTGAATTTTTGTGTGTGTGTGTGTGTGTCTGTATCCTTATTTGTAAACATACTAAGAACACTACTATCTCTCACAACAGTACGTGAATAATCCTGGTTTTTGTAAGTAGATGGATTTGTCTTTTATATAAGTTGATGAATTGATTATCGTAGAAATATTTTTTAATTTCAAAAGAAAAAAATTATTTTGTTTTTCTTTTTTTCAGTGTTTGCTTTTGCAAAGCATTAGTAGTTACACTGTAATAACTTATACACAATAAACATCAAGTTCTGCTCTCCTGCCCTCCTTCTCCATGATGCTTCCAGTCCACATGTTCAAGCTATAGTCCACAACATTATTTTCTGATAAATATAACAGTTTGATCTAAGTGTGGTTACATTATATTGTACTTGTCCCTGGAAGAAAACAAATTTTAATATGCAAGTGTTTATTTATATAATACATAAACGGAAAAAGCTATAGTAGCCATACATCCTAATTATGACTTGTAGATGATAATTTCTAGATACTCTCCTACTAGAAATGAATGTTTAAAAGTCCTAAGAGGACTATTTTATTTATATATGCACTCGTGTTCACCTTATTCCATATAATGTATGTGGTTATTGACAATCTGGGAATTTAAAGGTGCAGCCCTCAAGAAACTGTTAAATAACTAAAAAAATAAACAATTGGGCTCTATGGTTGGACAAGGAAAACACTCACAAAATTTCCAATTTAAAATTTCATATCAGTAGGAAAATATTAAAAAATAGTTTTCTGTATATATGTATGGATATATGTATATATTGAATTCTTCATATATCTCATGTTATCAATACATTTTAAGTCAAGACATTTGGTTGTGCTGTTTTTCTGGCTAATAACCAATATGTCAGAATATAAAAATATTTTGTTACATCATTAAAAAAATCCATTTATCATTTCAACAGCTTGTACTGTGTTTTAAAAAATTTTATACTTTTCATAACTAAATTCTCTGATTTCTAGTGTTTAAATCCCCTATTTAAATTGAAACCTGGGGCTTTTTGTTATTCAGAAACTGATGAATAAAATCAAATCTACTTCAAAATTCCATTGATCAAATAAATTTTATTACCTGATTTATCAGTAATATATCTCAGCTCTGAGCATATGTATTTAAATTATTCTCCCTGTAATAAATAGATGATGAAAATATTCTAAACTAGATGGAGGTAGCATACATGATGTTGTGATGTGGCAGCAATTACCCAGTGATACACGTGAGATTCTACTCTACTTCCATTACTGATGGTGAGTAACATAGGCACGTCCCTTATTCTCTCTCGTCTCCTAGGAAGTTTGAGACTAGAAGATCTCCAAGGTCCTTTCTAACTCTAAAGTTCTTAAATCCTTAACTTTCCCATTCTTTCATTCTTTAGCAAATATTTGTTGAGCTCCTATTATGTGCCTGGCAGTGCTCTAGGCATTTAGGGTACATAAATAAGCAAAACATACAAAATCCCCTGCTTTTATAGCATTTATATTACAGTGAAAGAAACAGGCAGTAAGCAGAAGATGTAATAAGTAGGTTGGGTAGTATCTTTAAGGATTATGGAACAAAGTTGTATTAGTCCACTTGTGTTGCTAAGAAGAAATACCTGAAGTTGAGTAGTTTATAAAGTAAGGAGGTTTGTTTTGGCTCACAGTTCTGTAGGTTCTACAGGAAGCTGGGTTCCAGCATCTGCTTCTGGTGAGGACTCAGGAAGTTTCCAATCATTGTAGAAGGCGAACGGGTAGCAGGCAATGTCACGTGCTGAGAGCAGGAGCAAGAGGTGGAGGGAGGAGGAGGTGCCAAGCTTGCTCTTTCTTTTTATATTAATTTAAATTTTTATTTTAAGT
This sequence comes from Homo sapiens, assembly GCF_000001405.40. Classification (NCBI taxonomy): domain Eukaryota; kingdom Metazoa; phylum Chordata; class Mammalia; order Primates; family Hominidae; genus Homo; species Homo sapiens. Next base: position 19,554,407 of record NC_000010.11, read on the forward strand.
TCCAGGGTACATGCGCAGGATGTGCAGCTTTGTTACATAGGTAAATGTGTACCATGGTAGTTTGCTGCACCTATCAACCTATAACCTAAGTATCAAGCCCAGCATGCATTAGCCATTTTTTCTAATGCTCTCCCTCCCCAACCCCACTCCCCACAGGCCCCAGTGTGTGTTGTCCCATTCTTTGTGTCCATGTGTTCTCATTGTTCAGCTCCCACTTATGAGTGAGAACATGCAGTGTTTGGTTTTCTGTTCCTGTGTTAGCATGCTGAGGATAATGGCTTCCAGCTCCATTTATGTCCCTGCAAAGGACATGATCTTGTTCCTTTTTATGGCTGCATAGCATTCTATGGTGTATATGCACCACATTTTTTGTACCACATTTTCTTTATCCAGTCTACCATTGACGGGCATTTGGGTTGATTCCATTTCTTTGCTACTGTATGCACATATGCATGCATGTATCTTTGTAATAGAATGATTTATATTCCTTTGGGTATATACCCACTAATGGGATTGCTGGGTCAGATGGTATTTCTGGTTCTGGATCTTTGAGGAATCGCCATACTGTCTTACACAATGGCTGAACTAGTTTACATTCCTACCAACAGTGTAAAAGCATTCCTATTTCTCCAGCCTCTCCAGCATCTGTTGTTTCTCGACATTTTAATAATCGCCATTCTGACTGGCATGAGATGATATCTCATTGTGTTTTTGATTTGAATTTCTTTAATGATCAGTGATGTTGAGCTCATGTGGCCAGGCTTCTTTAAACAACCAGCAAGAACTCACTTATTACTCAGAAGAGGGTATCAAACCATTCATGAGGGATTTGCCCCCATGACCCAAACACCTCCTACCAGGCTCACCTTTAACATTGGGGATCACATTTCAACATGAGATTTGGAGGGGACAAACATCTAAACCCCATCAAAAGTAAAGTAGCGTAGGAGGATTGGGAAAGCTGGGTAGGACTTCATTTTTACAACCATGGAGGTCAGAGTGGGCCTCATTAAGAATGTAACTTTGAGCAAACATTTGAAGGAAGTGG